>NC_000002.12:21752179-21903694 GCF_000001405.40 Homo sapiens
CCTCCCTCACAGTGAGGGTGACTGGGGGTTTTGAGCAGCATTATTATTTGATGATCTGGAGATTGCCATGATTGTCATGCATAGTGAAGAAAGAAAAAAATACTTTGAGAAAATCAGAAAAGAGTACAAAAAGGAATTTAGAGACATTAATGACAGTCTTTATCAATTTCAAAATTTCCCAGTAGCAAACCTGTCTGCTTTTATGTATAGTCCTATAATATTTTTTATTTTTTCTCCCTATGAACCTGAACACTCCTTATAGAGAAGAAATGTATCCAAAGATCATACTCATTTACAATATCTCATAGAATCTTAGACATACAGAAATTTCTGAGAATATGACTGTTGAAATAAAATGTTGTTATTTATATTTTATTTTATAATGGAAAAAAGTTTTGTTTTCCTAAATGAAAATATTATAAATATTTAGTTTACATAATTAATCTTAAAATTGCTAAAATTTTAAAAATGGGGGCAAAATACAAATTGAAAAAGAAAAAACAGCAAGATTTAGTATTTGGGTAAGAAACTGAGGGATCACAGTGTCAATGTCCACTCAAGTAACATTCAGTTAATGACTCTGGTGCTGATCAAGTCTCTTTTCTGCTGACCTTCATGGTAGAAAGTGTGATGGGGAAGGTTTGGTGTGTTGCACAGTTCTGGATTATTTGCAACTGAAATGATAAGACTGGAGAATGCATTGGCAATGAATTATTCATGGGAGTTTTCTATGTGGCAATTCAAGTGCTAAGCACTGAGTTTCAGTTGATATTGTCAAGGCTATGCTTGACAATATCAAAGTTTTTATTTTATATAAAAAATTCTTCCTTTGGCAAGAAACAAAAGGAGAGGGAAAGAAGACCTGAAAGAAATGGCCAAAGCAATGCTGTCGATTCTTCCCAGTGTATTTGTCATTTCCCCTATCCCTTTACCTTTTGGTGCTTTTCATTCCAGCAGAGAGGTGATCCTCCTCTTTTGCACTACTGTTGTGCAGTACTTACCTCTATCACAATCCTCAGCACATTGCATTGCACTTACTTGATTCTGTCACCTCTATAATATAGTATGCACCTTGTAGTAAAGGCTATGTCATATTCATCTATAGATCCTTAGCATCAAAGATAGAGCTTGGAACAAACTAAGCTAGTTTCCTCGAGTAAATAAATGAATGCTAGTTTCTTGAATAAACAAAGACTACACAGAGAGATAAAATGATTTGTACACAGAAATATAGGGTTCCTCTTAAACTGTCAAAGGTTGCTATGTATTCTGTAAAAAAGATACAAAATTCTGGGGTTTTAGGCCCAAGAGACGCAAGTCATAAAGACTAAGAAGGTGAAACACAGCTTCCCCATCACTTTGTGAGACTTTCAGTCTAAGAGGTGGTGTATATTGAGACAAGAAATGGTAAAAAGTTTTAAAGAAAGTAATGGGTTGTCTACACAGAGTTATTTAAAAATCACTGGCATATTCCAAAACAACTCATCTCTCTACTTGGAGGCCAACTTCTCGCAGAGAGAAACATTGTTTAGGTCCCAAAGTGCTGGACTCTCTCCCTGCCTCACAGAGGACTCAGATTCATGAGAGGGTTCTGGGACACTAGTAAAATCTTTTTTCATTCTTTCCTTTTGTGTATGTGTAAAATGGTCTCTCCAGAGCTGCCCTCTCTCTGGTTTTCTTTTTGTGTGTGGTTATTTCAGAGTTAGCTCAGTGCAGTCAGTAATAGTTGTCAAGATGAGAGAGAATTACTCCTTAAAAGACTTAGATTTTTTTTTTCTCTGAACCTTCCTTTTCACATCAGCTATTTTCATAGCTAATAAATTTTAAACTGTGAAAATTGCTTTGATCAATTATGTATTTAGGTTTTTCATAAACATGCTGATTTTATTACTTATGGAAACGATTAAGAACACATTTGTGTAGGATTTCTCTTGTACTGTCCCCGAGTGAATTCTTTATGTTTGCAGAGATTGTCCTATTTACTGATTTTATGAGGATCTTGCAGATATTATTTTCATGAAATAAATAAGGATGTAGGTATTGTTTAAAGAAACATTTTCAACACACAAATATCCATGCTGACAAATAATGGTTAGATATTCAGCAAAATTTCCATTTCAAGGTAAACAGGTAATTCTACACCTACCCCAAGACATCACAGGTGGTACTCAGGGGGTGCCTGTAGGTGGCAGCAAAAATGTTGCAAATTGTACCTACAAAATAATACCAACAGCATAATTAAAAGGAAAGGACAAATTAAAAATAACTTCATTGCCATGTTCAAAGTACTGTATATTTAGCTTTAGGCAACAGATTTATTTTAAAGACAAAAATAGAGCAGGCGTCACGTGCATCTGGGAATGGAAATTAGATAACCTCGCAACACAAAGGGCAAAAGGCATACCCTGTTACTTTATAAGACTGGAGTTTGGAAGCAGGCAATAAGAGGTTCTATAAATGCTTCAGCTCGCACTGAGGATAGCTCAAAGGCACATGGCAAAAGCTTGATATTTCAAATTGTGTTTTGCCTTGCGTCATTTCAGCTTAATTTTCCATAGCAATGAATTCAGAATGCTGAACACACATAAGCCACAGATCTGGGTTGCCCAGTACATTTTAGAAAAATCAAGCGCGATATAAATTAAAAAAAAAATACCTGTTTAAACTTGTTTTTAGGCATGAGTATTGTTCATAACTTCAGGCCAGAAAGAAACAGTCCTCTTCTTATGTCACATGTCAGGAGAGGTACAGCCTCTGAGTAATGAGAGACTAAAACAGCCTCAAACCTTGATTTCTATTGACCAGGTGGTGCTCTCTGGGAAGGTAGGTTTGGGGTAAATGGAATGTTAACTCATAACTACTAACTTCACAGTGGATCATGGCATTATTTTCCAGAGACTCATTGGTAAGTTGTGGGAAAATTGACTTGTGAAGTGGTAAGGTAGAAGGAAAAGTTGCTGGGAAAGTAATTCTAAAAAAAAGGAAGATACTAAACATTGGAAGCCAAGAGTTGTAACTATTCCAAGTTATGGTATCTACTGCGCTTCTATAAAGTGTGCATCTTGGGGCCTGGCAAGGTGGCTCACGCCTGTCATCCTCACACATTGGGAGGCCAAGGCGGGCAGATTGCTTGAGCCCAGGAGTTCAAGACCAGCCTGGGCAACACGATGAAACCCTGTTTCTACAAAAAATACAGAAAAAAAAAAAATAGGTGTAGTGGTGGGTGCCTATAGTCCTAGCTACTCAGCAGGCTCAGGTGGAGGATTGCTTGAGCCCAGGAAGCAGAGGCTGCAGTGAGCCATGATTGTACTACTGCATTCCAGCCTGGGAGACAAGAGAGATCCTGTCTCAAAAAAAAAAAAACCAAAAAAACCAAAAAAACAAAAAAAACAAGTGCATCATCTTGGTATGAATGATGATTTAAGAAATAGTAGAGGATCAAATGAAATATTTGATTTCAAGGATAGCTTCCCTGCAATTTCCTGAATTTCAACCACTTATTCTATGATCAAATTGTATACCTTATAATTGCTGATGCTATTCTCCAAAATGCAACCCAGAAATCATAATGTTGTCTCAGATAGATTGAGAGTAGCTGCTTAGTCACAATCGATATCATTTGAAGATACTTTTCTTTCTTGAAATTTGCCATCTTTGGGATATTTGTGATTACAACAAAGGAAGAAAACAAACTCTTGTGAGTTCTGAACACAAGTGAGGAAGCGCTCAGGGGAGCAAATGTTGAAAGACATTGTGCATTTCCTATCCCCTCTCTCCTTTTCCAAAAGGTCAAAAGGGTTCAGAAGCAAATGGTATCATTCCTGGCTCTTCATCTTATCTTGGTAGATCTCTCTGTTCTTAATAAAGTCCTCCTGTTTTGGTGATACGTATTGAAAAGTAGGATTAAGAGGTTGCTAAATGATACAGGAAAAGTATAATCAAAGTTGGAGGGGAGATTCAATCGGTGGAGTGACTTATTTTCTTTATGTAACTATTAATAGAATTAATATCAACAGGTGTTCCCAACTCCCAGGCTGTGGGCCTGTACCAGTTGTGGCCTGTTAGGGGCTGGGCTGCACAGCAGAAGGCTAATGGCTTCCAGCATCACTGCCTGAGCGTCACCTCCTGTCAGATCAGAGGTGAGCCAGCATTACCACCTGAGCCCCGCCTCCTGTCAGATCAGCAGCAGCATTAGAATCTTGTAGGCGCACAAACCCTACTGTGAGCTGTGCGTGCAAGGGATCTAAGTTGCGTTTTCTTATGAGAATCTAATGCCTGATGATCTGAGGTGGAACAGTTTTATCCCAAAACCATCCCCCTCCCTGCTCACTGTGAAAAAATTATCTTCCACGAAACTAGTCCCTCATACCAAAAAGGTTGGGGACTGCCACACTAGAGGACAGAAAATGACAAAAAACTTGAAAGAGAAGGTGGTATAATTCTTTTGTGTTACCTGGAAATGGTGAGTCACAGCAATATAGTAACAAGGTCCTTGGGAGTATGATAGAATGGTAGAAGAGAATGACCCCCAATTCCTATTATGGTTAAGTTGTTTTGCCTTGCCTTGTTTTTACATTTGTTAAGAGTGATGCTGTTGGATAACTGATATACAAAGAACGGCACATATTTAATGTGTACAATTTGTTGAGTTTGAGCATATGCAAACACTTACAATACCATCACCATGATCAAGGTAATAGACAATAAAGCTGTTACAAAAAGAACTAAATTGACGTTTGGTTCTGGCTTGTAGCTGCTCTCCTCTTTCCTTTCTACATGAACATTTTCAATCAATGTCAAATGTTCTATTAAAAAAAGAATCAAGATGTTTTAGTTCATTCTGGCTACTATAACAAAAAGACCATATGCTTGGGTGGCTTATAAACAACAAATTTATTTCTCACAGTTCTGGAGGCTGAGGGCCTCTATAAATGGTGAGGGCCAGCTTCCTGGTTCACAGACAATCGTCTTCTCTCTGTGTCCTCACATGACTGAAGGAGCGAGGGAGACCTCAGGTTTCTTTTATAAGGGCACTAATCCTGTTCATTAGGGTGAAACCTAATCACCTCCCATAGGTAGGCTCCACCTCCTACTACATCAGGTTGGAATTAAGATTTCAACATTTTAATTTTGGAGGAACAAAAACATTCAGGCTATAGCACAAGGTTATGCTGGCCTGATAAAAAGTAAGAAAGAATTCCTTTTCTATTTTGTAAAAGAATTTATAAAATATTTGTTTTACTTCTTCCATAATAGTTTTGAGAATTCACCTGTGTGTCCATTGAACCTGGGGTTTTTATTATGAGAAATATGTCTTTTAATGGATAACCTTTAAAGCAAATGTAACATTATTCAGAAAATAAAAATAATCCTGAATTCCATCACAAGGGAGTCAGGGAGGACATAGCCTTGGCTTTATACATACAAACTGTTGGTCCCAGGGCTTGGTTTCTGAGAATATCATAGTAAAGGTAGTATAGAAGAGTCTGGGACCAAGTTCAAGCTGGAGTTTGAAAGGGCTAGTTGCTAGTTAGATGCTAAAAAGAAGAAAAGCCCAGAAGGCAAAAGGGAGTATTAAGTTTGAAGAGTACAGCCAGGAGCTCTGAGTTGGCAGAGATGGGATTGGAGAGAGAGCAGGTGGGGAGCGAGTGAGGAGGGCTCTGAATAATCACAGCAAATAGCTTTGGGCAAATGCAACTTGCTTTATCAGCTGGTGGGTGGTGGTGCAAGAGAGAGTCTGGCTGCCTGAAAAGGCCAGATCCCTCTCTCTAAGCAGCAAACACATTAACGTCACACGTCGAGCTGAGAATTTTATCCACTTTTGGGAACTGTGGAATTGCGTTTCCACCTTGGCACGGCCTCCTATTTTTGACACATAGTGATTTGATATAAATTGTCATCTCCCGGAGACAACCTGACAACAAATACTGCTAATCATTTCATTCTGAACTGCGCCTGGATGGCGGAGAGTAATTAGACACATGCCTGTTGGAGACTCTGCATTATGAAGTGCATGGGAATTTGCTTTGAAGGGGAGAAACAATTAGAGACGGAGATTTACAGAAGACTGTAAGAGGCAGGGAGTCTCTTATGTTTTATTTCCTAAAGCCACAAAAATTCCTATAAAATCCCTACTTAGCTCACATTCTTAAGCTAGAGATCAAGCCTTTTGAAGAACAGGCATACCTTAAAATCAATCCACATGGCGTTGCTAGGATCAAAGAAAAGATAATGCTCTAGGGGCCCCTGCTGCTTGAATTGTTGACCCAAGTAAACCCCAGCTGACTTGCAGGAGTTAAAGTAGTCTGGAAAAATATTATCTGGAATCCATCCTCCTCCTTAGATAGATGTTTTTTGGGGTCAGAGAATGGAATCTCTTCTATAGCTGACCCTGGAATTTTACAGATCCCTGAATCTTATTCTAAGGAAAGTGGGACCAATGTGTCCATATTATAATTGATATTTTGCAATTACATCTTCATGGCATTCAAAGAAGTCATCTTTTGGGAAAACTTGTTTTATTTTTTTCTCAGATAAGGTAAAACCTGTCATGAATCTAAGGAAGCATTTGTGCAGCTGGTGATGGAGCACCTACTTCCTGGGGCATGGGTGACACAAACAACTCCGTGTTCCTAAACATGCTTTAAATTGAGACTCTAGTAACTGCTCTCCTTTTCTTTTACATCACATTTGCATGATCCCATGGATGGCTGACCACAGAATATTTGTATGGCCTTTGAACTCAGAAATCATGCTTTGTTTTGGTGTCACTACTAATTAAGATAATTAGAAAACTTTTAGGTTTTCAGAGTTTCTGTTATCCCTTTTCCTCCAAAATTCTAAGTATTGAGTCTCCATCCTATATGTCCAGAAAATTATTGTATTATTAAAATTATTATGTCTCCATTAGCATTTCTAGGCATCTTTGAGGGGAAACTAACATGTCTGGGGTGCTACCTGCCACCTTTTGCTCTTGCCTGATGTTCTTTCTTTCTCCTGATTACCTGGTGGTCTCTGAACTTGTTCTAATCTACTTTGGTCCCAATACTTGAAGAGGCGTATGACAACTTCCTTCCAAAGCATCATGAATAAAAGTTGTTATTGTTAATTTCTAAGGTATGAAGATAAAAAAGGGAATCAGAATGCAGAAAAGATATTAAAAATAGACATCATTAGATATGACAGCTCCTAAAATTTGCCATCCAGTCCTCTTCACAGAAACCTCGACTGTCATTTTTATGACACAGAACACAGAGTTGCGCTTAACCATGCTCCTCCCTCAGATTACAGCTCCTTTCTTGGTCACTCATGGCCAAATCCCAGGGTCCTCTCTTGCGGAATATCCCAAATCCATAGCTCCACACCTTGAAGCAAGTATGATGTTTAGAGCATTTTCTCTTTCACTTTTTTATTTTTTTCATCTGTGTTGTTTTAGAGCCATTCTTTCACATAGAAAAGGCCCGTGAAAACATTTTTCCTAATCAGAGAATAAAGCTAAAGAATAATTACACTTTCACCTCTAGAACAATAACATCGGTCACATGGCTTTAAAAACAAGCAAGTTTTGCAACTCTTCTGATTAATACTAATAATGACCATATTAATTAATCCTCCAATTCCAGCAGGAACTTCAGTAATTCTGACTGGCCTTTTACTTTGCAGCTGTTGGCTTCCTTTTCCATTTCCCTAAAAGCAATCTTTAAATGTTTACTACTTGAGGGGAATGATAAACCACACTCAACTCACTCAAACCCACTCAATAACCCACTCAAACCACAAGCCCAGAACTTGTAGTGCAAAATCTATTTTTAATTTGGGGAAGGTGGTTGAATAGCTTTTGCATGATTACCCTCAACTTTCAGCCCTTCTACAGTGTATTTAAACTTACCCATATTCCCATCACAGTTACTTCTTCCCTACAGTTTTAGAGAATGAGCTTCTCTTCCAACCCAAGGGTACATCCTCTATGTGTGCTCTGGTGTTTTGTTTTTTGTTTTTTTTTTCCTGTGAACTCCCTCAGCTTGCATCTACATTGTGTACGATCTTTCTCTTATTTTTTGGCCTGTATCACTGCAATGGTTACTTCCTGTAATGATTAGCCACATTTAGGTGGTGGTTGTTTTTTCAATCCTAATATTGACCAGTACTTATATTCTTGAGTTGAACGCACTTGGTCTCAATGTGTTATTCTTTATGCTTTATTCCTTTATACATTTATTTTACTGCCAAATTCTGTCCAGTACTATTGTATGTAACATTTTTTTCATCTACATTTTTAAGCGATAGTAGATTAGAGTTTTAACTTTTGGTACTACCCTTACTGTTTCAACATCATAGTTTTGCCAGTCTTATAACCTAAATTGGGAGGCTTTCCATCACTGTATTACCCAGGAATTAACTGGATAATTGGATGAGGATTTAGAACCTAACTTGTATTACATAGTAATACACTGTTGCCTAAAAATTTGGCAGAACCCAGCAGCAGATATACACTTAGTAACATTTTAGACATATAGTTGACATCTTTAGAATATTTTATGTATTTTTCTATTTAGTTTTATCCTTCTTGAATACATTTAAATCATTTTTGTTTGTTGCTTTTCACTTTAAATTTTATTTTTGTAGTAAAATCTGTATCTGTATGCCTTTTTTTTTCTTCCTGCTTGTCTTTTCCTGTTGTAGCTTTTTTTTGCATTTATTTTCACATACTGACACATTGTTTTAGGCATCACCCCTGTAATTGGAATACATGTTTTTTCTTACTTTGACTGTGGTTCTCTGTTTAAGAAAAAAAAATAATCGATTTAAACCTGTGAATATAGTTTATGTTTATCATTTTTTTATTTCAATTTACTCTTTTTTGTTATGTTGTTAATTTCTTCTTTCCGCTCTTCTTTTCTCTTTTTTTTCAGATCAACATAATTTTTCTGGCAACTTAACATACTAATTATCCCTATAGTGCTTATCATAAACATTTAACATACATTTTTCATCTTATATTTCTTAAACATTGATCTAAGGTCAATTTTTAGACATACTCCTAGATAAAGGCTTCAAGTGCTTATAATTACCTCTTATTTCCTTCCCTGATAACTTCCTATGTTAAGATTATTTGGCATGTTATTTCAATCTTTTTATATATCACAAAGCTTTACTGTGTTATTAGTGTCTTTACTCTTATATCTCATATTTTCTTATTCTTCAATTTATTTTTAATTTTAATAGAATATACAATATACAGGCATGCCTCAGAGATGTTGTGGGTTAAGGTTCAGACCACCACAATAAAGCGAATAGTATCATAAAGTGTCGTGTGAATTTTTTGGTTTCCCAGTGCATTCAAAAGTTATGTTTACACTATCCTGCAGTTAATTAAGTGTGAAATAGCACTATGGCAAAAAACCAATGTACATATCTTAACTTAAATACTTTATTGCTAAAAAATGCTAACAGTCATCTGAGCCTTTAGTGAGTCCCAATCTTTTGGCTGGTGGAAAGTCTTGCCTCCATACTGATGTCTGCTGACTGATCAGGGTAATGGTTGCTGAAGGCTGGAGTGGCTGTGGCAACTTTTGAAAAGATGAGAGCAATGAGGTTTGCCACATCAATTGACTCTTCCTATCACAAAAGATTTCTGTGTAGCATGTACTGCTATTTGATAGCATTTTACCCACAGGAGAACGTCTTTCAAAATTGGAATCAGTCTTCTCGAACCCTGCTGCTGCTTTATTGACTGTTTGTGGAATGTTCTAATACCTTTGTTGTCATTTCAACAATGTTCACAGCATGTTCACCAAAAGTAGATTCCACCTCAAGAAACTTTCTTTGTTCATTTCTTAGAAGCAACTTTTCATTCATTCAATTTTATTATGAGGTTGCAGCAACCCAGTCAGTTCTCCATGCTCCACTTCTAATTCTAGTTCTCTTGCTATTTCTCCCACATCTGCAATTAGTTTTTTCCACTGAAATCTTGAACCTCTCAAAATCATCTATGAAGTTGGAATTAGCTTCTTCCAAATGAAACTGGAAAGTTCCCTGACCTCCTCATGGGACTTCTAACAGGAGTGAGGCTCATTTGCTCTGCTTCCTCAAACCCCTTATGGCAGGGGGAACATGAAGACAGCCCGGTGCAGGAGCCAGGGCAAGTGCTTTTGAGCTCTGGCCCCGTAGTAGAGTCTAGCGGTGTGTTGCAATTAGTTTTCTTTCAGCAGTTGCCATTTGCAGATGGCTAAATGTTAAACCAGCTCAGTGGAGAGTCAGGATGACAGCCTTTTACACCCTGCCCTCTAGATATTCAGGTCCTTGTCCGGCATCCAGGAAGAATTAGGTCACCTGGACTTAAAGGATGGTGAATGCTGAGATTTCACTGAGTGATGAAGGTGTTTCTCAGTGGGATGGATGGGGAGCTGGAACAGGGTTGGAGTGGAACGATGATCTCCCCTTGGAGTTCAGCCGTCCCGCATCCAGTCTCCTCTCAGACCATCCCCAGCCGAACTCCTCTCGATGTTCAGGTGCTCCTTCTCTTCTCTCCTTCTCTGACATGCCACTCTGCAGCTCCTCTGCTCTTCTGTACCTCTGCTCGTGGAGCTTGGGGTTTATGTGGGCACAGCATAGGGGTGTGGCAGGCCAGAGTGGTCTAAGAAAAGGCAACCTTTGGGTGCTAAAACAGGAATGCCTGTTCTCGGGGCCAAAGGTTTCCAGGCTTGAGGGTAGGGCCTTTGCCAGGGAACCACCCTCTTCTATCCAGTATTTCACTGCCTCCTGTCTGTATCACAAACTCCTGTTAATGTTGACATTTTGACTTCTTCTTATGAGTTATAAATGTTTCTAATGACATCTTGAATGGTAAATTCTTTACAGAAGGTTTTCAATTTGCTTTGCCTAGATCCATGAAAGGAATCACTATCAATGGCAGTTATGGTCTTACAAAATGTGTTTCTTAAATAACAAGACTTGAAAGTCAAAATTACTTATTGATACATAGTTACAGAATAAATGTTTTGTTAGCAGGCATGAAAATAACATCAATCTACTTGCACTTTTCAATCAGAGCTCTTGGTTTATTAGGTCCATTGTCAATGAGAAGTAATAAACTAAAGGGAATATTATTTTCTGACTGGTAGCTCTCAACATTGGACTTAAAATGATCAGTAAAACATGCTCTAAAAAAATGTGCTGTTGCTCAGGCTTTGTCGTTCCATTTTTAGAGCACAGGCAGAGTAGATTTAGCATACTTCTTAAGGACCCTAAGATGTTCAGAATGACAAATGAACACTGGCTTCAATTTAAAGTCACCAGCTCACCAGCTGCACTGGCCTCTAAAAAGAGAGTAAGCTTGTTTGGTGAAGCCAGGCATTGACTTCTCCTTTTTAGCTAGGAAAGTCCTAGATGGCATCTTTTCCAACAGAAGGCTGCTTCATCTGCATGGAAAATCTACTGTTTAGTGCAGCCACTTTGATCATTAGTCTTAGCTAGATATTCTGGGTAACTTGATGCTGCTTCTGTATCAGCACTTGCTGATTCACCTTGCAGTTTCTTGTTATGGAGATGGCTTCTTTTCTTAAACCTTGTGAACCAGCCACTGTTAGCTTCAGGCATTTCTTCTGCAGCTTCCTCCTTCTTATCTTCATATAATTGAAGATAGTTAGGGCTTTCATCTAGATTAGGCTTGGGCTTAAGGAAATCTTGGGGCTGGTTTGATCTTCTATCCAGATCATTAAAACTTTCCATATCAGCAACAAGGCTATTTTGTTTTCTTATTATGTGTGCGTTCACTGGAGTAGCTCTTTTAAATTTTCTCAAGATTGTGTTCTTTGCATTCACAGTTCACCTAAATATTTGGTACAAGAATCCTAGCTTTCAGCCTGTATCACCTTTCAACATGTCTTCCTCATTAAGCTTAATCATTTTTTGCTTTTGATTTGAAGCAAGAAATGTGTGACTCTTTCACTTGTACACGTAGAGGCCATTGTAGGGTTATTAATTGGCCTAATTTTAATATTGTTGTCTCAGGGAATAGGGATACCTGAGGAGAGGGAAAGAGACAGAGAAATGGCCATTGGTGGAACAGTTAGAACACATACATCTATGTGTTAAGTTCACTGTCTTATATGGATGTGGTTCATGGTGACCCAAAACAATTATAATAGTAACATCAAAGATTACTGATCACAAGTGATAATGAAAAAGTTTGAAATATTGCTAGAATTACCAAAATGTGACGCAGAGACATGAGGTGAGCACATGGTCTTGGAAGAGTGGGACCTATGGACTTACTGGACACAAGTTGCCATAAACCTTCAATTTATTTAAAAAAATGCAAAATCTGCAAGCAAAATCAAATGAAGTATAACAAAATGAGGTATATCTGTCTGCCCAATCAATGTTTTTAGAGAGTATGTGTAGGTAAAAACCTTTTATGACCACACACACACACAAAATGTCTGGGTTTGGTTCTTTCTCAAGTTCTTTTGGCCTAGGTCTAAAATTTTAGGTTTGAGATCATTTTCTCTTCCATTTTTATAGAGATGACTCAAAAAACTTCCAATAACTGTAATGCTAATAATTATTTGCTTTATCTTTTCAACTTGAATGCTAATCCTTTTCTCTACAAACATGTTTTAGGCCTTATCCTTTGATTAATGTTCTAAAATTTAACTTCTGGGCACGGTGGCTCAGGCCTGTAATCCCAGCACTTTAGGAGGCCAAGGTGAGTGGATCACCTGAGGTCAGGAGTTCAAGACCAGCCTGGCCAAGATGGTGAAACCTCATTTCTACTAAAAGTACAAAAATTAGCGGGGCATGGTGGTGTGTGCCTGTAGTCCCAGCTACTCGGGAGTCTGAGGGAGGAGAATCACTTGAACTTGGGAGGCGGAGGTTGCAGTGAGCCAAGATCATGCTATTGCACTCCAGCATGGGTGACAGAGCAAGACTCCATATTAAAAAAAAAAAAATTCAGTATGTTTAAGTATGGTCTTGCCTTTTTTTCCCCAATTTTTTCTTCTTGGAACTAAGTATTTTTTTCAATTCAAAAGTTTATATTTTCTTTCAATTTTGAAAAGTTTTTGCTTTTATCTTTATTATATATCACTTACAGTTGTTATTTTCTGGAAATCATATTAAATATATCATAGAAATTTTATATATATCTTCTATGTCAATTAAGTTTTTGTCATATAGTTTGTTTAACATGCTGCCTTCTGGGGGAATTTCTCTGCTCCTTCTTCTAACTCCATAATTTGTTCCTTAGTTGTGTTGGAGAAATATAATTAAAAACTCCTGTCACCCCAGAAAACCTCTCCACAAAAATAGAAGAGAAAGATATCAGTTTAATTATTGAATAAGCATTAAATCAGAATGTGATTTGTGTTACAGACAATATTCTAAGGTCTCCAAAAACAAAGACAAAAAGAAATCTTACCATTTTATACAGCCCAGAAGATACAATACATTACGTATGAGTTCTTAAGATAAACAATAACTAGTCCTCAAGTAAGAAGATTTGATAGCACCATTTGTCACACGTACTTCAGGTTAAATTCACTTGGTAGTTTTGTTGACTAGGTATGTTATGCAAAGAAAAAAATACACTTTTCATGTCTGTATGACAGAAGGTCATCATGCAACTTGGTGGAACTCGGCCTACCTAAGTTATACTCTTACTCTTCCACAGAAAACAGGAGAAGCGGCACTATTTCTCTGGATGATTCCATTTAAAAAAAAATGGCTCCTAGGTACTTGATACAGATATTCCTAGGTTGTAAGGCTGGAAATAAACTTATTTGCCTTTTAGAAAGATTTACACACATTTCAAAAAGACAGAGTAATCACTTGCAAGTAAAGTTTTCTAAAGTAAATGCTCTAATAAATGGAAAGGGGGAGTCTATTCCTTTATTTTCAACAGGGAGAATTAAGCCTCTTTGTATTAATTTGTATTTGCCCTTACAGTTGTCTTGATTTTCATTTTCAATATTTCTAACTGATTGTGTTTTTCATTTTGGTTTTTCTAGAAGCCTGTAATCATTTTATAAATATAATAGTTATTTGAGGTTCTTTGACAATAACACTTTTACTTATTTTGTGCTTACCTGATGCTTGTACTCTTCAACCTAGTTTTCAGTTCATTGGGTTTAGCTTGGTGTTTCTCTTCCATGATTCTTTAACCATATTTTTTTGTTGAGGATCTCTGATTACCTCCTTGTAAATGGAAGTTCTGATTCTAGGAGTTTTCCTTTCGTTATGTTCAATGGGAAAGGACATGCTGATGTGTGGAATTTGCTGACAATTTCTAATATGGGCTTGATATTCGCTGTACTTCTTCTTGGATTAGGAAACCATCTGGGGCATATTCTACCAGTCCAATTACTTATCTGGCTTATCTGGTTTCAAGCACAAGCAATGACCACTGTTAAGCACAAGCTGGAGAAATGGAAAGGATACATGAACCTCATTATTTCAATGAAGTTCTAATAACAACCTTCCTGACAATTATTGCTAGATCATGTCCAGCTCCTTCTGTTACTTGAATCTAAGTTTGAGTCCCATGTGCCTGGCGCAATTAGTTATCCACCATCAGCCCTTTATTTCTTACTATGAGAAACTTCATTTTTGAGGAGGTGCTGTATCTAGCCCCAGAGTGTGAATGATTATTTGTTTACTTCTTCGTGACAGGCTCTATTGTCTTTGTCTGTGCTTGGTCAAGAAGTGAACATGTCGTGTGAATCTGGCTGTAAAGGACATAAGTACTAAGAAGTATGCTGAGGTTTTATGGGAAGATTTTTCTCCTTCCTCCCTTATAAAAGAAAGAGCTATGTAAGAAGAAGATCTTTCCTCCCTGCTTCCTTTTTCTCCTGCCTCGGGGGTTTTATGTGAGGAGATGGTGTTTGGAGTTATAAGAAATTTTCAATGACCTTGATAAGATGAAGATGTTAGCAGAGAAGTAATGCAGCAAGAGCTTGAAGGTCCTTGATGCTGTAGTGAACCCACAGAACAAACCTTAGAATGGCCCATATCCAGACACTATTGTAAGTGAGTTGATGATAAAACTGTTTTCAATGCCCTTATTTGTAGCTCAACACACTCCATTCCATTCACTGTCACTACATCAACAGCTCTTATTGTTGGGAATGCGTTTTGAACTGTCATTGCCTATGATGTTTCTCTATAGATCTGATATGATTTGATTTTTATCATTCAGGAACTCCCCATCCTTCATCTGATTGGGAGCACTTTTTAATGTTTTCAGTCTTTTTTATAGATTTATTCTTAATAAGAATTATACAAAATTTGTGTATGCAACTCTTCTGACATAAAAGGGGTTTGGAGCAGAACGGGATAGAAAAAGAGACCCGGTCTGTGTCTCTCTACCATTGTTTTCAGAAAACAGAAGTTATTTCCTTTCAAGGTCCAGCTACGTTATCATCTCCTCTAATAATATTCCTGTGATCTATCCAAATTTCTGTTGTACACTGTGTATGCCTCTATTGGGATTTACCACACAGTATTGAAATTGTCTTGCCTTTGGATTATGAAGCTCTCCTATTACACCTTATCTGTTACTTATATTTTAATTTAGCAAAATGGCTTATTCATTGTCATCTCTTCAAACTTTTTATTGAACTGAACATACTCTGGTTCTTGAGAGATTTATTTTCTACAAGGAGCTTAGAATCTACAATGGCACTTCTTATCAAATTCCGAATTTTTTCTTCTTGACTTCATCCTAACTACTTGAATCTAAGAGATTGGTACTTAGATCTTCCAGATAAAACTTGCATGGAGAATTTCACAAAAACAACTATAAAGTGACCTTCTTTGTCTTCTCTTATTTTTCTTACTTAGTCCGTCTTTTGTATTTCTCTGTTTATCAATTAGATTACATCTGGAAGTTTTTATTGATGTGATATTAAATGATTTGCAGTTATAACTTCCAACCATCTGTATTGAATTTGGTTAAGTTTTCAGTTCAAGTAAGTTCATAAAAGCTCTATGGGAACCTATTATGTTATCACATAATAAGTCTGTGCCAAATTTGAGTACAGATGCCAATTTCTCTTTGTTAGGGAACACGTCTATATTTCTATCTATCTGTACATCTTTTGATAGATATCTAAATAGATATATTTATATCAAGATTTTGATGCAAGTACTCTCAAATGTGATAATAGGATTTTTCTAAGTCTTTTTCTAAAAAGGAAAAAACTACATGTATCCGTTCTATAGCTAAAAATCTATTAAGTGGTATATCTTAGTTAAATTAGCATTATCTATGGTAATAGACAGTTCTTGAAATCTCAGGCACTTAATGCATACACATTTACTTCTCATTTAAAATTCAATCGGTGAATTTATTTGGCCATGCGATGCAGTGATGCTTATGAAGTCATTCAGGAACCCAGTCTAAAAAAGTCTACATATTTAATATGTGGTTTTTATGTCACCATGAGCTAAATAATTAGTATAGATTATGAAGCAGATAGAGAGAGGGGGAGAGACAGGGAAGGAGGGAAAGAGAGAGAGAGGGAGAGAAATTCATGTCAGATATAAATTATACATGTTTTATTGCTTACATCTCAAAATAGCATACATTTTTCTGAGAGAGATGAAAAATGGAAGACGGAAGCTGTTTGCAGGGAAGGCTGGGAAACGTAGCCTAGCTGTGTCCAAGAAAGAAAGCCTGGTTTTAGAGAATACACTGAAGTCTCTGCCACACACCTCCACCAAGTGGTCACAACACCTGGTCAAAGGCAAAGAGTGTGTGTGTGTGTGTTTGGGGGAGCCGGGGTGGTGGGGGGCTCAGGCTCAGCTTCTGTTTTTCTCTGCTAACTTTAAATCTCATCTCCATTTATTTTAATAAAACTTTCCTAATCTGGCCAGCTTGGGGAAATTGACCGGACTAATACATACAAAGTTAGAAGTGAAAATGGATACTTTACTCAGCAGGTGGCTCTCTTCAAATTCTCTGAGCTCCAATGATCAGTATATGAGAATGTATTTTATCTTATTAGCCTCTGTAATGAGCTACCAGTCAACAAAGATAATGCTGTATCCATTTATTTTTTTTTCTCTTTAGTTTAATGAGGAAAGAGAGAGAAGTTATTCTGTTGGTGGCGTAACCATTAGCCAACTGCAAAAGTTTTCCAAGATAAATTGAAGAGGACAGGAGGTGGTGGTGGTGACTGGTTATGTGAATTTTCTTTTTTCTCTGATTTTTAATAAATAAAAGTTATGAGGTATTGATAGAAAGGCATCAAAGTAATAAACTAACCACTTGAAGAATCAGGAGCTGGAGCAATTAATCATATACAGTTTTTCTTCCTAGCAAAAAAGTCAGAATTTTATTTCTCCTCTTCCCTAGTTTTATAGCATGGTGGTATGGATGTGTCACGGGTTTTATGTTTAAGACGTATTTAGATTCAAAGCCTTAGTGTTCTTCTTCTTACTATTAAACATTTGAAAAATGACCTTTATTTCTTGAGCCTCCATTTCTACATCTGTTATATTGGTACAACTATATTTATGTATAATATATTTATATAACAAAACTGCTTGGAGGATTGGATACACTAAGTTGGAGCACCTAGCATGCACCTGTCTCCCAGCAAGCACTCTGGAAATGCTAGTTCTTTTTGGCTGGAGAAATAAAGAACAGAGTATCTTTCCGGAAAGTATTCTGCATGAAATATTGGGAGTGTAAAACTGCTCAGACTGTTTCTTCAACATTTATCGAAACACTACCACATCCAGCAGGCATTCCATTCTTGGTGATCCCAAAGCACTTGCACATACTTCTTTTAAGATATTACACTTCTACACACCAGCCTTTGAGCACAGGGTCTCTTTAGACTGTGAAATTCTAAGTAGATCACGCGTTCTCTTCTTCACGATTCCCTCTTAATTCAGTAAGAACTAAGTGACAGCTGTGATTTTTTATTCCGGGCACTATGCTAGGCACCATAGGGGTAAAGACTAGAAAGGCAGGTATCTACTTTTACAGAGTTTATTCTCTACAGCACCTTGCTCAGCCCCTTTTTCGTAGTATGTTTGAACCTGGCCCTGGAAGCCTGGGATTGTTCAAACATATCTGGTTAAGGAAATCGTATTTATGTTCAAGCCATGAAGACAAAGAAGATGGAAACAAATAGATGAGGGCCCCCTTCTTCACTCTACTATACCAAACCTGAACCATGGCCAAAGGGAACAGAGTGGGAGAGAGGCAGCCGGTGGGGATTGCCCAGCCAGCCTCCTAAATTGTTCCCAGTGCAGAATAGCTGTGCTCTTGGCCTCATTGCTTCCTGTCACAGCTCCTAATATACCATACACAGATTCATGGTGTGACCCACTATGGACACTACAGCAATTACTTTTTATACCACTAGTTGGAAAAAAAAATCCAAAATACATCAAGGAATATTCTCCATAAAAAGAATAACCGTTTAAGAAAACATATAAAGTGGGACCCAATGAATATTCCTACCAACAAGCCCATCATATTTAGCTTAAATGTGGGCATTTTTAAGGTGCCTGGAAAATTCACTCACACCTTGTGCATTGTGTTTGATACAGTTTTGAAACACATCCCTGCAGGCACCTCTATGAAAACAGAACAAGGAAATAAGTTGGCAGATAGAAAAGAAAACAGGAACTCAGAGGTGAATCAGGGCTGCTTGCTCAGGCTCAAGCAGTAGCAGTGGAATATTTATATTTTTGAAGGTAATTTTCTTAAAAAACTGCTTGTCTGCACATTAATTTGTAGTTTCTGTCCTTTTTCTGCACCAAATGTACCAGATTTGGTAATTAACTTTTTAAGCCGAGTTCAGCAATTTATTGGGCTTAGTTTGCAGTCTAGAAACTGATCACATACCTACCCTGACAAGACAGTCTTAATGAGTCTGAAGCCAGGAGCTGAAGCCCTGGATGAGCTAATTCTGCAACCTGAGGCCCTGAGCCAGTTGCTGGAAATTATCCCAAATGGATTCTGAATCTTCCCACCTGCAGCACAATTCCCTCATGTATGCCCCTCCCAGAGTTGGATGGCGTGGCACCACTGAAATGTCTTCAGAAGACTTTTTTTTTCTGTATTTTAATTGCATGTTAGGATAAAATAATGTACAGGTCTGCAATAGTTATTGCTCTGTTGAAATGGAGAAAAGAACCCTACATAATATTGAAGAAATTACAAAGGTCAAAAGATTCTCCCTCAGGCTATTTTATGGTACAGAGAAGCAGTGCTTCTGAACACATAATGAACACCACAATCTCCATTTGGATTGGGAGGAAACCCCCAGCTCCCAGCAAAGGTGTTCTAATGAGATACTGTATTAGTATAATACTGCTTTCAAAGCAATCACCAGCATGCTGATGGTTCCCTGGGCAGGGCTGATCCATGAGCCTTATTTGTAACAAGATGAAGGCATATTTGACAGGAAAAATTGGTTTTCAGAAAGAAAGACGTCACTGGGATGTGCACCACTGAGCCCAAAGAACCACTGCCCCTGCCTGAGGCTTTTAGCAGCTTTGTAATAGATAAAATAAAAAATCAGAAATCAGAAAGATAAAGCAAGATACCTTGACACGTTTCAGCATATGAAGACATAAAGATACTAGTTTTTCCTGTGACTCAAATCTTTATGAACAAAATCATTACAACTGGAACAGAGGCTGTACTGGATCCAGGACCACCTCTGGGGCCTGCGAACTTTAACCTGACAGCCTCACCGGAGATGTGCAGTGCCTTCTCACTCTATCCACAAAGGGCTGGAAGTTCAGGTTGAAGAATTCTACCTTCATAGATAGAGAAAACAAGAGACAAAAAAAAAAGGGACTTCTGTCAGCTCACATAGTCAGGGGACTAGAACCTGTTCTTTATTAAAGAAAAAGGGCTAATTGACTGTCTCCAAAGTATTTATTGAGCCTGTGTGTGCTCAGCATGGTACAAAGCATGGTCAAAAACCAGAAAAAAAAGATGTTTTGCCCCTGCTGTAAAGGGAAGAAAATAGCTGCTCCAGTGCATCAGTCATGATAGAAGCATTTGATAATGTTACAAATGACACAGGTGTGATGGAAATAACTGCTCTTGGGGACAGTTTAGACAGACGTAACCCTGTGGTTGGCAAAATGAGACTGCTTGATTTGCAACAAAGTCTTGAAGGGTGGGTAGAATTTAGGACCAGCAAAATCACAGCAGGGGTAACAGGAAAGATACATAGAAGTGAAATGAATGTGGCATATTTGTAAGCTGGCAAAGGCATTATCAAGCTTATTTAGATAGCTCTTTTCCTTTGCTTTATTTTCCAAGCTAAATATTCCAAATTTTAAACCATCCCAGTTCCCTTACCTGCTCCTCTCCCTATGAAAAATCATTGCTGTCTCTGCCCCCACGGTGCTCCATAGACTGTTCCATCCTGATACATAATATTAGAAGTATTTGTATTTCTTCCTATGCAACTGCTCTTCAGGGAAAAAACTGAGGCTCATTCCTCTAGATTTTTATGATTTCATAAAATCATAAGTAAAAAGTACTTAGAATGTGAAGGAATTTTTGATGAGTGACTGGGTTTCCTTCAACCACAATTTGTTTATATGATTCTCCAGACTCATTGACATCATTGACCTTTCCAGATCTCCCTGCCCCCTTCCTTCTCTGCTCCATGCTTCTTAACTGACCAACATTCTTGTAAAATTATGAAATTGAAAGTCCAAAATTCCCGGTGCAGGGTTAAACTTAAGACTGTGACTCAGTAAACTTATCTCTAAATTCATGCAAATTCAGTCTTAGAATGCAATAGGTGTATGAGATCACAGGCTCATATTGAGCCTGTTTTAAAAATAAAACTTTCAAAAATTGATGTTCTCCCTCATTCTTTATTGATGGAAACAAATTTTTTGACCCTAAATATGGAACTTCATGCATTTGTAACTGTCAGATTTCATTATATTCGCATTACAAATATTCATGATAATTTTGAACCTTGATTTTGCCGTTTATGATACTTAGTTCTCCTTTCCAACTTTACCAAGAGTTCCATTTGACAAATACATATTCTACTCTTTCTTGGTCAGTTAATGAACTAAAAATATTGACCTAAATAAAGCCAAGGGAGGAATCCAGAGTGGCACCCCTGGAAGTTTTGTCCAGGCTGACAAGAAGCCAATGAGTTATCTCACTTTAGACATACTGTTCAAGTGGTTACATAAACAGTTCACTAACATGGGTGTGCTCTGGCTAGCATTCTTTTCATAGCATCAATGAAAAATCATTTTCAAGGCTTTTCTAAAGCCAGGATAAACTTACTTCAACAGCCTTCATCTGGGTAATGAGAAAACAAAGTTAGTGTGATGTGATGTGATGTTTTTCCTCACATTATTCACCAACAATCACTGCCACCTTACTCTTCATGATGTTGAAGCCATCAGCCAAAACTTGTCAGTTAGATATTTCCACAGTATATCTTCTACCTGCTTTTGAAAATCCAGACAATATCTTTCTCATGTTCTCTCACGCATCTCCTGTGCTTCAGGGACTGTCAAAGATTTTTTAAGCAATAATTAAGTAAAGGATCATGATATATCTAATTAATAAAATAATCATGTTGAGCATCATAAAGATATTGACACAATAAATGAGTAACTGTTGTGCATCAAGAATTCTGAAAGTTCCATTTATATTTGGTGGCATTCGTCAAACTATCTACATTTCTTTAATTTTAGTTTCTTTTCACATAATGAAGTAACACTAAATAGGATAGTTATGAAGTTCCACTTAGTCTTGAAATTTTATACTCTGCGTTTAGCAACTTTAGACGGCCAGGGAGTCCTTTATAACTTGTTATCTATAGTGCAGAGATCTGCCATTGACATGGCACTGAATGTACATTAAGATCTATTACCTTTAAGAGTTTTCATTAGAGCTGCTGCCTCCTTTATGTAGAGGGCAGAACCAGTCTAAGAAGGAGGAAATGTTACTTCTTAGCCTGGGCATACCTGCCAATCAGAAAGACCATTGGGGAATTTGATGCAAAGTTATTACTGGTTGATGACTCCACATGCCAGAATTCTCACTGATATTTTTAAATCCCTGCAATAAAGTCTCAGTAGAAGAAACTGCAAGATGAATTACACATGCTTATAGATCTATCTCTGACAAACTTCAGGGTTTTCATTCATCTTTGTAATTTCAGCACTTGGTGTCCCAGTAAATCGCTGGGGAATAGAATCGAGAAGAAAAGCAATGATCTCGCCCCACAAAGTGGTAAAGACTAGGGGTTAAATATATTGTTTTTCTAATTGAAGGTGAGAAAAAAAAGTTTCTAAATCCTCTGCAACAGTTATTTTCCTTTCAATTCCCTTAGGCTTTAGTTGATGAACTATTTTCTAAAGAATTTCCTTTGGAGATGCCTTTTTATTTACTGAAAAGAACTAATTGTTTTCACAGTGATGTATAAAAATACAGTTTGTTCAACTCACCATTCTGTATCAAGAATTAGAAAAATATTGTTCTCAAGGCACGGTCTATTCCGAGGAACTTTGCTTTTATAATGTGCGCTAACAGCAGAGCTGCCCTTATTTAAACAATCATTAGGAACCATTTATATGTGGTAGCAAACTCACGTTGATTATTCACACCCTGTTATCAGGAGGAGGAAATGAAAATTTACATCCACATCTTTAACCCTGCCACGAGCAGTGTTTCATTCTGCTCTTGAGTCCCTTGACACTGAGGTCAGGTGCTGTGTGTTTATTACTCAGCCTGTGTGAAGCCTTTCCTGCCTGAGACCACTCTCCTCTGGGGAAAACAATTGTGTAGCTGAAAGCAGCTTTCTCCTTCCCTTGCCATTCTGTCCTCTCCAGCTGGGGTTGTTTATTTCAATGGTTCCCAACCATTTTGGCACCAGGGACGGGTACATGGGTTGGGGGTTGGGGCAGGTATGGTTTTGGAATGGAACTGTTCCGCCTCAGATCATCAGGGCATTAGATGTGCAGCTCACAATAGGGTTCATGCTCCTTATGCTGACTCTGATCTGACAGGGGGGCAAAGCTCAGGCAGTAATGCTTGCTTACCTGCTGCTCACCTCCTGCTATGTGGCCCAGTTCTTAACAGGCCACAGTACCAGTTCTTGGCCTGGGGTTGGAGACTCCTGGCTTATCTGATGGTTCAGTTTCCAGGATGCTAGAAAATCTTCATTTACTAATAGGCAAGATCAATGTGCATTGAAAGGGTACATGTGCAGGTGCCTCATCCTCTTTACATGTTTAGCTCAAGGCTCAAGATTTGAATAAATAGCTCTTTTGTTTTCTTTTATCCTTTCTTCATGAGGTGTTGGGATCCCTGCTTCCCAGGAGATGGCCTGAGGTGGTAAGGTAGGGGCCTTCAGGTGAAGGACTGAGCCAAGCCTTGAGATTAAGCCAATGCTGCAGACCTGTCTTAGGCAGTACTGTGTTGTATAAGGTGCATGCTCAACTTATAGTAAAGGAACAAGTTGTTCACACTGCTGTTGTCCCTTAGGCTTTTAACTTTCTTTGGAAACTAACAAAGAGAAAGGGTAAAAGGTCTTGCAATGGTAAAAACAACAATAAACAAGAAAACCTGTCTGATGAAATTATTAATAGAAAACATAACCATGGGGAAAAATCTGCGGCAGCACTGTACATTCGGAGGGGTGATCTCCAGGTAACTTAAAAAAGATTCCACTATGTATAGCATACTTTGATCAGGTTGAAGGAAGGAAAAAAGAGCTCTTTACAATTCTGCGAAAAGGCAGCATTATCAGGCAGTCTCGGATGACTATGATTTTTGAGCCCTTTAGTATTCATTATGTTGTAAATTTACATTTTGCTTTTCCTTGCCTTTCATTAATATACTTGATATGTTTGGATACATATTATTAATATTTTGTTTAAAAAGCTTTCAGATGCCTTTGAAACTTTCACTATTTTCTAATTTAATATTTACTAATTTATTAAGTTTATTTTGATGGGAAGTTTCTAGTTTCTGGAGTTGAATATTTATTTCATTTAGTTGTATTCTTTCTTATTTAATGAAAAATATAATTAAGTAAATGAAGTTTGCTCTTTGTAAAGCTTCTACTACACCTGTAAGTGACTAAATAGCTACAATGAGATTACTGCGATACATAACAATCTTATTGTAGTTAATTTTAATAACTTGTAACAGAGTTTTGATTTATTTTCTGATCTACAGATTATTTAGCAGAGGATTTTGTTTTTATTTCCAAGTGATTAGTTTTTTTAATCATTTTGCTATAAATTTTTGGTTTTATTACATTGTGAATAGAGAATTTATGATTATGGCTACGATATTTTGTTTGCAAGGGTATTGGAACACTGTTAGGAAAGTTCTATATAAAAGACATCTTATATCATCTACTTGATTTAATATGTTAATTGTGTTATTCTAATACTATATCTATCATTTTGATCTAATTGAACTGCAAAAATGTAACAATATATATCAATCTACCCCAAGACCATGGTTCTTTTTCATTTTAACTGGTTGTATTCCTATGTCTTTTCTTATACACTTTGGAGTTAGTGAATTCAGAACCAAGATCTATGACAGATGTGTCTTTATTGTAAATTATCCCATTTAGTAAATCATTTCCTTTTTCAGAGTTAATGTTTGCTGCATGATTTTACTTTTGTTTTTAATATTACCATCTCTGCTATATCTGTGATGTATACTTATGCACTTCTCATTATCTGCCTGTCTATTATTATCCTTCTGTGTAATTTGTATTTCTTGCAAAAGTTATAAATTAAACTTTTTTTTAGTCCCAGTGTTGGTCTTAATTAGGAGGATTCAACCTGTTTTCATTTATTTTAATAATATATGTGGTTGTTTTATTTGTTCAACCTTTTCTTAACTACTAAAAAATACACAGAAAATTGTAGAGTCATTACTACAAAACTCATGATATATTTCAAAGTGAATTATACTCATGTAACTGTCATCTGGATTAAGATATATTACTTAATGCAACTACCCTCAGGCCACATCCCAGTCATTACATCACCTGAAGGTAGTCATTCAGACTACTATTACCATAGATTACTTTCCTTGTTTTTGAAGTTTATATAAAAGAAATCATACAGTATATAATTGTATCAGGCTTCTTTTATTTATTTTTTTTGTGCCATTCATCCATGGTATTGCTAGAGCAAGTTTGTAGTTTCATTGTTGGATAGTGTTTGATTGTATAACTCTCACAAAGCATTTTGATCCATTCTACTATTGATGGACATTCGAGTTTGTTTTTTTTTTTTTTCAATTTGGGGTTGTTATAAATACCACTGATATAAATGCTAATATACATATCTTTCAATGCACACTCCTTTGGAGAAGAGATATAAGGAACACAGGTGGACCATAGAACAGATAGATAGATAGAACCCTAGCAGGTTTGATAATTCTTTCTTGGAGTCTTGACACTTTATTTAGGAAGACTTTATTAGAAGACTCATCTTCTGCTCTAGGGATAGATGGAAATATATCAGCTTATTCTCTTGTTCCAACCAGACACTGATTATAGATGGGTTGAAAGACTCAAGTCAACCTTTGGTTCATACAGGCTCCCAGGGTAAGCTCTCTAGTGTCCCCAGCTGAAAGACTGCGATGTTTACTAGGACCTCTATTCTTGGCAGGCCCTGGACTCCAATTTTGCCTCCTCAGTAAGATGATACTTCCAAAACCTCAGCTGTAGATTTCAGTGGTTTTTCTGATTAGCCTCTCCTACCCTGCACAGCTTGAAATTCAGCAAATGCCTCAGAACCACCAGTGTTGGGCTAGGGTCTCTGCACCTCTCTTTCCTTTGAAATCTTGGCTTTTCATATCCTGCCATCCTTTGTGGGCCTCAACTCTCTTCTATCATGTAAGATTGCTAAATATCAGTCATTTACTGTGGATTTATGATTAGTCTGCTATCCTCTTGCTCTCTAAAGTTAGGAACATCCCTGAGGAGGAAAGTGGCTTGCAGAATGTTGACTCATTCTCTCTACTTTTTCTCTTCTCTTGGACATTCAAGTGCAGATAGCCTCATCAGCACACGTGTCTTTATATAGATGATTTTTTTCCCTATTTTATCCAACTTTACTAATTGTTCTTGATGGAAACAAATAACTTGAATTGGAAGTCTAAGTCTGACGTGTGCTTTGCCTTTTGTTTCTATGCTATTCTAGATGTTTCCTTTTCTATCATTTTACTTTTGTTTAAATTTTGTTTTTCCTTATTTTTTTCCTAGCTTTAAAATTACATGTCATATTTTAGTTGTTGTGGTAGCTTCTTTCATATTTTAAGCAACATATTTAAGCTTATATTTCTATATCTGTCAGTGTCACGAAAAATAATATTTATGGAGCTCTACCCTTCTTAATCCCTCAAAAATCCCTTGGCATTCTGCCATTGCCTTTAAAATCATGTCTACCAGTATATTTCTTTTCCTCTTTCAGGTAAGATTTGTTTTCTATGCCTGGATGCTTATTAAAATTTCACAAATTTTTCGTAGGATCTGAGCCTTTTGCTGTTTGTCTTTATTTGCTTCTTTCAGGTTTCCCAGCTTACTTGACTAAACTTGTAGTGGGCAATATCTACATGTACCTGATTGTCAGTTTGAAACATTAAATCATCATAAGTGTGGGTGTCTTTATGTGTAAGCTGATTTTTTTTTTAAAAAAGGGTCCCATTCTGTTGCCCAGGCTGGAGTGTAGTGGCATGACTATAGCTCACCACCACCTCGAACTCCTGGGCTCAAGCAATCCTCCTGCATTAGCCTCCTGAGTAGCTGGGACTGCAGCTGTGAGCTACAGTGCCTGAATATGTATGTATGTATGTATGTATGTGTTTATTTTAGAGATGGGGTCTTGCTATGTTGCACAGGCTGATCTTGGATTTTTGGTTTCAAAAGCAAACTTTCCCCCTTGGACTTCCAAAGTGTTGGGATAATAGGCATGAGGCACTGAGCCTGACCTGATTCATTTTTGATTTAAATAAGTCATCAGGTGTCATGGGCCAATTCCCTCCCACTTATGGTCAGTAAAGGCAAATGAAGATATGAAAAAAAATAAGTAAAAAGATAATGTGAAGGAAGTATGGAACTTAGTTTCTGCTTTCAAGGAACTCATAACTATTTAGGAAAAAATAGCCAGTCATTAGTTACCTTCCCAGGGTCCATTTTCCCTTTTTAACTGACGGAGAGAACCCCAGCCTCCAGTGCCATAGGGGTGGCCACATGACAGTCTTTCCATTGAGACATAAGTGAAGTCTGCGGAATGTCCTAGGAAGATGTTTGCTTCTTAGAACCAATGCCAATAAATGCAATTGACATTGTGGCCTTGTTTTCCCCACCTCTCAGCCCCTGCCCTGACGTGAACATGAACTCCGAAGTTATAATAGCCATCTTGAAACCTTAATGTATCTGTAGTAAGACAAATGTTAACAGAATCATAAGGAAGAGGATCTGGATTTCTAGAACTATGCTTCTAAACAATTGTCAGTGGGCCCCTTGGCTATAGACTTCTTGAGATCTAAGAGAAACAAGCCTCTACTTGTTGAAGCCACTGTTAATCAAGTCTTCAGCATATGTAGCTAACTGATACATTGGAGAAAATCAATTTAAATAACTACACAGGGCACATTGTGGTGAAGAGCAGAATGTGTGATATGGGTGAAAATGGTTGTGATTTTCCTCAGCTTCCTCACATGCAGGCCAGTCTTTACGCATCTCCCTGGGAAAAGCCCTGCCTGCATTTCCTACTGCTTGCAGTTACCTAAGCAGCAAAACCAGAATCAGCAGCTGGGAAGCACATTCTAGGGGTGCTGAGAAAAATGTTTTCCCTTTGAATCATTGAAAAGAGTTCATTGTGAGATTCTTCTTTTCCCTAATAAATCACCAGAGTGAAACATAGATGGTCAGAACTGCTAGAGAGTGTGCTTTCAGACACTTTTAATTATGGAGCCCCCCAAAATCCTGACTAAACACTACTGTGAAAGAATGGAGAAATTAAATTCAGGAAAATAAATGAATATAAAAATACAGTAATCTCTGGGACTTCATTTTTCCCCCAGCACTATATAATCCTGAAATCTCAGAGCTGATAGCACTAGAGGAATCTGCTTTAAGTACAAATTATTTAATTAGATTAATTTTACCTTAATTAATTGTAATTATTGGCCCACAATGACGTTAGACACTTTGCTGAGCATTTAAAGGAAAATAAATACATAAACTGGACACAGATGTCTTGGTCTTTATAGTGTTGGAAAGTTCTATCGTCACTTTGATGACAAGAAATGGCAGGAAAATTGTTCCATAAAGTCTATTTGGGAACTACAATGATGCCTAACTCATTTGGAGGCACTTTTAATGAGAATGGAATTCATGGAGAAAAGTCAATCCTAATGACCTTATACTTTCAACATGTATATATGATAATGTTTCTCATTTTTGAAACTCTCATTCATTCATTTATTGCTTTGAGGATGTACATGTATTAGACACTGCTTTTACTAAATGAATTACCTTCTCCCAGTTTACATCCCACAGTAAATACTCCAGTTTTCCATGCAATATATGCATTGATTAGATCTCTTCAAATGTCAAGGTTAAGACATTCCAAGTTCATCGAGTTTAACCACACAAAGAGATTTCTTGGCTCACATCATATAAAGGAGTAAATGTTCATGGCTGAAATTAATAGGAGTCAGGGCTCAATACTCACCAGGAGTTATTTCTCAAACCCTTTACCACCCCTTTCTTACCTAGGCTTCTCACAGAGTGTCATTATTTCATCTCTCAGAATTCTCAATGTATGGTTCTGGGTTAGAACTAGCTGCCAAAGAAACTTCTGCAGGCCATTTTTATAATCAGAAGGTGGGTGTAGGCTCAGGTGCTGTTGAAGTTAACACAGGTGGACACAGGTCTGCTAGCTCACCATATTGGCCTGGGCAGTAACCAGGCCTGCAGCTCCTCCTCTGGCAACCACTGGATCTCTTTCATGAGCATCTCCAACTGCTGTGTTAGGTACATGTTTAGCTCCATGAGGAAGGGCACCAGCTTCTTCTGTATGGTGACGCATTATCCAAGTTGAAGGCTTGGAAGCAGTAAGAAATTAATAAAGGTGCCTGTTTACCATCATGAGTTCTGGAATATTCTATGATTCCCATTTGTTCTTTCTCTACAGAGTTTCAAATCCATCTTTCCATCCTGAATCCCTGCCTTGTGGACTTCAGGCCTCAGCACCATGTACAAAAGCAAAAGTCATACATAGACTGGTTAACCAGATTGCAATCTTATAGTCAGCTCCCTGTAATCAACCCTTTAATCTGTATTACTCCAAGAAGTTCTGATTCTCTCATTGAACCCTG
The DNA here is from genome assembly GCF_000001405.40 of Homo sapiens. Classification (NCBI taxonomy): domain Eukaryota; kingdom Metazoa; phylum Chordata; class Mammalia; order Primates; family Hominidae; genus Homo; species Homo sapiens. The sequence goes on from NC_000002.12 coordinate 21,781,557, forward strand.
ACTGATAACTTGACCATATGAAATTATTTTTAAAACTTTACTTTCAATGTTTATTGAATGAATAAATGAATGTGATAAATGAAGTTATTCTTAGGACACAATCTTCACTCATTCACTCTCCCTTTTATTAATATAATAATACATCCTCCTTTCTATCTATCCATAAGACTAATTAAATGAGTTAAGACACGTAAAGTACTTAGAGCAGTGCCTGGCATGTAGTAAGCACTAGGTAGGTCATTATTATAGCAGGTTTAGCGGTATGATATGGTTGCTAAAAAGGTAAAGGAATCTTTGGGTATAATGGTAGAAGTGAGGGATCAGGATCAAGGGAAGCTCATGGCCCACTGCATTTTTCATTGCCAAGATTTTGTGTTCAATTCTGGGTGTCTCTAATTTAAAAAGTGTTTATACCTTCTGGGAGATTGAGTGCTGAAAGTGGTAAAGTGTGTAGACTCATGCCAAGTGAAGAACATGGAAAAGACTGGGATGGAGGATATGACTTCTCTTGGAGACAGATTCAGAAGCTGAAATAAAGCTTTCTTGAAAAACTTGAAAGGCTGTCATGTGGAAGAGGAATTAGAGTATCATTTTAAAAGCATCCATGAAAGCAACTGTAAATAATGTACAGGACTCTCTTACACACACACCTGCACTCAAGTGGAAGATGACAAGAGAACCGGGTCAATAACATTTTGCTACTGACTTCCAACGTGGGGAAATAAAGACTAGCTTTCCAGCTGAAAGTACTGGAGAATTTTAGGTTGATAAAAAGTAATTACCTGGGCAATGAAGCAGCATGAAGCACTATAAATGGCTGCATTAGAACACTGATTGGGACTCAGCTAATTTCTCTGGTGAATTTTTCCGTGAAATCTCAGCTGAGATATAACAAAATTTAGGGCAATTTTCTTCGTTTCCACCAACCAATATCTTTCATAGAACCTTTGTATGTATCTATTTTTCTCTATCTCTTGTCAAACTAGACATCTGCCTGATCAGATTTATCCATCCACATTCTGTTTAACTCCCTTTCTAAACCATCACTGCAAGTGTTTGCAATGAGGTGTGGGCCTTAGCTCCATTTACCACTGGACTGTAACTCACACAGAGGCTCCTGTAAGGCTCAAGGTCACAGCCCATGAGAGGTGAGCGTCAGTTTGCTGCAGTCTGTCTCCTGGTCTCACCTGCCAAGTCCCATTCACTCTTCTTCCAGTCTTTGTGTTGCTTTCTCTTGCCAAGAATGAGAAATAATGCTCCTACCCTGTGAATATCTTTCTCCTACATCCTCCTCAGAGATTGCTCATATTTCCTATGGCTCGTGATATCTTTCTGTGACTTTCAGGCACATACCTTTGAGTAAAACTGCCAGAAGCAAATGTCATCCTTTTTCTTTTATCAATAGTCTTTCAGACTTTGCACAAGTGACTTGCTTCTCAACTGCTACTGTGCTGTAGAGAGAGCACGGGGGATTTCATGTGGAAAGAGCATTTCGACTGCAGAGAGCCCCCGCAACTCTCTGAAACACAATTCCCTGGGTGTGTTGCCTGGGAAGCTTGTGCTAAGCATGGAAATTAAGTTGTGGCAGGTCGAGTGGTTGTTCTATACTTTGAATAAGAGTTAACAATTCTGGGTTAAACGAGGAAGGAGAAAGAAGGACTTCACTGAATTGTGCATTCATTAAATAAACATTGAATCTCTAATTATTTGGGGATATATGAAAAAGACTTGTTGCTTAACCTTATGATGCTTATGGTCTAGAAGAAAAGACAGTTATAAATCAACTAAAAATAATTAAATATTCTAATGCAATCTAAGTAGGTGTAGCGAGAATAAGGTGGCAAGGAGAAAAAAGTGGATTCTGCTTTAGTTAGAATTACCATGGCTAACTTCTAGAAAAATGTGAAATTTAGTGGAGATATGACAAATAACTAGTCCAATGAAGATCACTAGTACAGGCATTCTTCACTTTCCTTTTCCTGAGCCTGGGGAGGGGGCCATATAATACAGATTTCTCTAGGACTGGCTGTGTACTCTGTCTTCTGCCCCATCGGCTAGGCCAGCAATTTACAGCCAGAAAGCTGTAACTAAATGTAAATTATATTTTTCCAAAGAGATAAAAATCTTTGTTGTTAATGATGTACATGCTGTGGGCCTACTGTGTGCAACTCACTGAGCTAGCACATTGATAAATGTAGAATGGGTATAAAATGCAGATCCTGAGCTCAAGACCTGACCTTGATTATTCCATAGCAGGAGGAAAGGGAACAAGGATATCTCTGAGAAGTAAAAATTCATGATTTGTTATAGCTGATGAATAAAACAAAGTACTTTCCTAAGAACACACCACTCACTTGGAAGTGTTAAAAAATAAACAATATTAGCATGAATCAAAGGGTAACATGTATTGGCTGACTACTCTGTACCTATTATGATAGGCACATGAAATAAGAGCATATTTACGATGATGCTTCTATCTTTGAAAGACTTACAGATGCACTTCATGAATGGCCATCGATTCAACAAAAGTGCAACATTACACATATTGTGGCTTCACTTGGAAACTTATAGATTCACACACATTCATTTTCTGTGATGTCTCTGCATAGCTTTCCCACCCTTCTCATCCCCACTACTTTTTTGCTTCAAAGTAAAATTATTGTTCGGAGTCCCTAGTGTTACAAAGCAGTTGCATGCTGTGACATTGATCACCTGAACACAATAGGTATCTTGGGCAGAAAATACTGAATAAATAGAAAGTCAGTGAGAAGGGAAATAAGGTGTTTATTAGACACCGTTGAATGAGCAGGGAGGAAGAAAAGAAATCAGTGAAAAGTGGCACTGTTTGAACCAAGTATCATAATAATACCATGTCTTAAACACTTTCCACCCACACATATGCATCTACACATAAGCAGGCACCCACAAGTGCATATGTGTCACATAGCTTTGCAACCCTTTAGGGAGCTGGCCCTTTCTGTAGATCTTATTGATGTTCATGGGTGATTGGCAACTGTAAATGGGCTTTGGAGATGGGCAAACATTGGTTTTAAATCCCAGCTCTGTTGAGCTCTGTTAGTTAAATCTTATTCAGAGAGTAATTTGTCTCCTCTGTGTCTCAGTTTTCTCATCTGGGAAATGTGGACAGTAATGCCTAATAAATGGGAATAGTGTGAGGAGGAGCCCGTGGCCCAGAGTTAGCATTCATATAACCAGTTCACTGTGAAATTCACCTAAAACAACCATTTACAAAGTCAGATGCTATTTAACAAAAATGCTGTTAAACATTTTAAATATATAGATGAATTCTTAAAGAAATTAAGATTTGGTAAAATCTGCTTGAGAATGTAGATGCTTTCTTTTACTCCATGACTTTAGGCCACTAAGCCATCCTCATCCCAGAAGAAGTCTGGAAGTTTATTCTCTAGAGATGGTGAAAGGAATGGTCCCTGAAATGGGGGGATCCAGGCACAATCATGGGATGAACAGGAAAATGTACATAAAGAATGCTCCATCTAAGTCCCCTGACCCACCTCTCCCAGTCTGGCTTCTGGAAACTTGGAGGCCGTGTCCTCACCCAGGCAGAAGATTGGGAGGCTTTCTCCTATACCACCTAGCTAGCCCAAGAGGGAAGGCCGGAAGAGAGTGTGCGGTGATGACAGGGCTGATTCCCAGATCATCCTGTGTGATGGTGGAGCCAACACCATGTCCTTGCCCATCAGTGCTTCTCATCAGCTTTACAGTTCTCCACCCTTTTACTCTTAATTGTGAGAAGACAATGAAGATTTACCAGACGTTGAGAAGATCCTCCAACCAGAAACAAAGGTACCAAAGTAAAAAGAATCAGGTAACTTGGAGGAAACAGGGACTATATAGAACGGGGGGGAACAAAAGAAAATGAAACCATTATGAATGCCCTGAAAGAGATCAAAGAGGATATTGCAGCCTTGAAATGGGAATAAATTGCAACAAAAAGCAACATAGGATTCAAATAGAGTGAAAGAAAATAAGATATATTTTCAGAAAAATAAAGTTGGAGAGACTTTACCATTCACAGACTCTTATGGAATGAATTACTAAATGGATGCACTTCACAAAGAATAACTTTGAAAAAAATCAACGGATGAAGTAGAATGCAAAAACATGATGAGCAAGTAAATTTGTAAGCAAACGGCTAATATATATACATAAAGTTTTATAAAGAAGGGTAAAATTATCTTATAAAAATAAAGTGAAATTATATCACTAGAAATCATCACAAGAAAGCTGGAAGGAGGCTGATCAGAGTTAAAGCACCCAGGGGTATGTGCTTCATTCAGGAGGTGGGTAATGATGTGATCAACTTTAGATTTTGGTAAGCATGCACACTACAGAACAGGAAGAGCAAATATATATATATATATGTATGTGTGTGTGTGTGTATATATACACACACACATGTATATATGTATATAGGTGATACAATGGAAAGAGGAAATTAAGGTAACACTGAAGCAAAGAGAAATCATGGTAAATGAGGAGCATAAAATAGAAGGGAATAGATTCCAAACATACACATGTGGGTGTGCATGTAAATTAATTTATTCATAATATTATGGATATTCATACATTTTTTATGTTAAATCAACTATAACAAAGAAAAGACAAACTAGAATTTTGAACAAGAGCAAAAAGTGTCAAAACCAATGTAAGATAATGTTTCATCCATTAAATTTACTGAAATTACAATATGATAAAAATAAATCTTAGAAAAATTATGTGGAAATTGGAAACTTTATGCCGAGAGAATAAATTGACACAATTACAATCATTTTGGAGAGTAATTTGGTAGTATCTAGTAAAGATAAAAATGTACATACCAGATACCTCAGCAATCCCAACTAAATCAAAAGTGTGTTCTTCAATTCTCAAACATGCACAAAATATATGCTGCCACATGATTGCTGAAAAAATCTTGGTAAGAGTAAAAAAATAAAATCCGTCTCACTGGTACACAGTAAAATAAATTAATAAACTAATTAGTTCATGCCTTGGAGTACTCTATTGCCATTAAAATGCATGACCTACAACTTTATGAACCAACAGAAACATAATTTGGAATTTGGTTATAGTGCAAACTTTGATAGTGTTTTAGAGTCTGGAATGCAAAGTATACGTTCATAAACACATTATATTATAATGTATTATATGTTGTATGTCTAATATTTATACATAAACTATAGTAAGAGTATAAAACAATGAATAATACCTATCTGACCCATAGAAGACTAGTTATCTCTAGGGAGAGAGGAAGGGAAGAGATCCAGAGGCAGGTATTTTGCTAAATCTGTAAAATTATCTTTCTTTTAAACCAAAAAGAAGAGCTGAAGCCATTTGACAAAATATATATATCTTTTTCATTTTGGTATTGAATGTACATATAGCTATGATATAATTTCCTGTGATTTTCTGTGTCTTTGAAATAAGTCATTATTTAAAATGTTTAAAAATACATAAGTGCATGAAAAGGTAGGCATATGGGTGGAACTGGCATCATTCAAATCATGTAAATTTTATATTAAGCCTATTTATTACATGATTTCACAGTAATGTAATTAAAATTAAAACTGTCTAATGATTCTTCCTTTGCCATGTTGCTGTATATCAGAAGGACTATCTCTATGAAAATAACTTAGGGTAGATGCTATCAGGAAAACAGCAAATTATTCCTGGAATTTAGAATTTGGAGACCCACAGGATTTTCTGAATGTGATCTGGGATTCTTTCTTAAGTGTTATATTAAGAGACACTTGAAGGTGAATCTCTGTTAATATCATTTATGCGTTTATCAGTGACTTAGTTCCCAAATAGTATATTTTAAAATATTTTGAATGAGAGTGCACTGTTGAATCAGCCAAATTCTTCCCAATGTGACTTTTTGGAAGAGAGCAAGCCCCATCGCCACAACTCTTATATTTGTTAATTATCCTGGCATCTCCCTGTCCTGAATAGGTTCTTAATGTAGAAGTAGGAAATGTGCCTGGGCTCCATATTAGGACAACTATAATGCCTAGTGAGGCAGTGGTGTCCTTTGTCTGAGGTTCACAGCCCCCTGAAAGAAGGTCTATTATAGCACTGACCACAAATACTGTAAATGTGCTTCATTTATCTAAATATTCCATTGATTGTATAATTCATTTTTTTAAAAGTAAACTTTTTAATTTAAAACAAACATTTACCTAGAATCCACAGTGTGTGGGCTGTGGATAAATAAGATACAATATTTACCCACTGACAATCTACTGTTCAGAACAATCATTCTGAATACTACCTGCAAACTGAAAATTGTGGAGGACAGGTATGCATATATATATATGCACTTACATACCTCAGAACTATTGCAGATTCAGTTCCAGATTACTGTAATAAAGTGAGTGTCCCAATAAAGTGAGTTTCCCAATAAAGTGAGTTACATGAATTTTTGCTTTCCCAGTGCATATTAAAGTTAGTTTAAACTATACGGCAGTTTATTAAGTTTGCAATAGCATCATGTCTAAAAAATGTACATGTCTTAAAGAATACATTCTTGCTAAAAAAAATGTGGTGATGATCATCTAAGCCTTCACTGAGTCATGATCTCTTTGCTGGTGGAGGATCTTGCCTCAATGTTGATGGATGCTGACTGATCAGGGTGGTGGTTGCTGAAGGGTTGGGGTAGTTGTGGCAATTCCTTAAAATAAGACAACAATGAAGCTTGCCACATCAGTTGACTCTTTAATATTTCTCTGTGTAGCATGGAATGATGTTTGATAGCATTTTACACACAGTAGAACTTAATAGGGGTCAATCTTCTCAAATTCTGCTGCTTTCTTAACTAGTTCACATAATATCCTAAGTACCTAGATGCCATTTCAACAATGTTCACAGCATCTTCACCAGCATGGATACTCTGAAGACACCACTTCTTTTCCTCATCCATAAGAAGCAAATCATCATGCCTTAAAGTTTTATCATGAAGTTGCAGCAATTTAGTCACATCTTCAAGATCTAATTCTAGTTCTCTTATTATTTCCCCCATATCTGCAGTTGCTTCCTCCACTGGAGTCATGAACCCTCAAATTCATCCATGAGAGTTGGAATCAACGTCTCACCTCCTGTTAATTTTGATCTTTTGACCTCCTCCCATGAATTATGAATGTTCTTAATGGCATCTGAAATCCTTCCCAGAAGGTTTTCAGTTTGCTTTGCCCAGATCCATCAGAGAAATCTCTATCTATGGCAGTTAAGCCTCATAAAATGTGTTTTTTAAATAATAAGACTTCAAATTCAAAATTACTTCTTGATCCATAGCTGCAGAATGAATGTTGTGTTAGCAGGCATGAACATATCATTAATCTCTTTGTTAATCTCCATCAGAGCTTTTGGTTTACTAGGTCCACTGTCAATGAGAAGTAATATATTGAATGGATTTTTTTTTCTGAACAGTATATCTCCATATAGTGCTTTAAATAGTCGTCAGTACACCATGCTGTATACAGATGTGCCGTCACCTATGCCTTTTTTGCCCCATACGTAGAGCATAGGCAGAGTAAATTTACCATAATTTTTGAGGGCCCTAAAATTTTCAAAATGGTAAATGAGCATTGGCTTCAACTTAAAGTCACCAAGTACATTAGCCCCTAACAAGAGAATCAGCCTGACCTTTGCAGGGTTGAAGCCAGGCTTTGACTTCTCTTCTCTAGCTATGAAAGACCTAAAGGACATCTTATTCTGATAGAAGGTTGTTTCATATATTGAAAATTGGTGGTTTAATGCAGCTACTTTTATAAATGATCTTAGCTAGATCCTCTGGATAACTTGTTGTAGCTTCTACATCAGTACTTGCTGCTTCACCTTGCACTTTTATGTTATGGAGATGGCTTCTTTCCTTAAACCTCATAAACCAACCTCTGCTGGCTTCGAACTTTTCTTCTATAGCTTCCTACCTCTCGGCTTTTATAGAATTAAAGAGAGTTAGGGCTTTTTGTTGAATTTGGCTTGGGCTTAAGGGAATGTTGTGGCTGGTTTTATCTATCCAGACCATTCAAACTTTCTCCATATCAGCACTAAGACTATTTTGCTTTCTGATCATTTTTGTGTTCACTGGAGTGGCACTTTTAATTTCCTTTAAGAACTTTTCCATTGCATTCATAATTTGGCTGTTTGGTGCAAGAGACCTTGCTTTTGTCCTATCTGGATTTTCAATATCCTTTCTCACTAAGCGTAATCATTTCTTGCTTTCAATTTAAAGTGAGAGAGGGGTGACTCTGTCTTTCACTTGAACACTTAGAGGTCATTGCAAGGTTATTAATGGCCTAATTTCAATATTTTTGTGTCTTAAGGAATAGGAAGACCTGAAGAGAGGGAGAGAGACAAGACGACAACTGCTGGGCAGATTAGTCAGAACACACTTAACATTTATTAAGTTCCCTGTCTCATATGGGAGCAGTTTGTGGCACCCCAAAATGATTAGTAACATCAAAGATCACTGATCACAAATCACCATAACTGATATAATACTAATGAAAATTTGAAATATTGCTAGACTTACCAAAATGTGACACAGATATGCACTTGGAAAAATGACACCAATAGATTTGCTCTATGCAGTGTTGCCACAAATCTTCCATTTGTAAAAATTTATAAAAAATGAAATATTTACAAAGTGTAATCTAGTGAGGTGTAATATACTAAGGTGTGTGTGTATATATATGTTTAGTCATACACACACTATATATTACTATATATATACACACACACATATGTATATATACGCCTTACACAAATGTTTCACCTCCTTGGAGTATTCTAAACAGCACCCAAGATTGAGAAAATGAATGAATTAAAATGGGAAATTTTTGCAGGCCGAAAGAGTGAGGGTAACGATCAACTCAGTATACCACTGGAGGCTACATGAGTAAACCGCAAACTGTTCTCATGAAAGCAGGATGTTGGCAAACTGACAAACTGCGTCTGCCACCCAGAAGGAATGCTGAGGGCAGTCACGACCCAGGCACAAGTGTTTCTTGTAATTAGGCACATCTGAAGCCTGTTAGCAATAACATGAACCTGTGATCAATTAAGCAGCTGCCCAATCTTTACCACCTCCTCCCTGCTCTTTCTACCCAATAAATAAGAAGGGCTATAGAAGCTCAGGACTGCCTTTGCTCACTGGTAGCAGGGAGCTGTCTACTTCTTCCCCTGGACCCTTCCTTTAAAACAGTTTCTTTTGTCTTAAGTTTTCATTTCTGCATTTGTCCTCCTTCGTTCAGTCTAATGGGGGTCTCAAGTAGTAACAGTAGTAACTGTCGTAGTGACGGTCTCAAGTGGTAACCATGGCAGTCTGCAAGAGGAAATATGTAAGAATTGGCAGGGGTTGTTAATCTGCATTGAAGTGAATAGTGTCCATTAAAGGATAATTTCAGTTATCCCCATATTATACCCATATGTCCCCTAAATATACCCATATTTGTGATTTTATCAAGCTGATATAAAATACTTTACCCTATTTGGTGAAGTATGTCTCTGTGACACTGTCACAAAGACAGTGAATCATTCTGTAATATTGCACAGGGCTCTGAGGAACATGAGAGCATCTACTCCATATTCTCTCTTCCATGTTTGACAATTTTTCAAATTCCCTAGGCCAGCCACTTTTCTTTTATTTCAGTGCTTACGGTTCTATGATGATCTTGTCTTTCTCACGCAGCTGGGATTTCTGGGAGAATAGCAATGATTTGAAGAAATGAGCCGGTGGGATTAAGCCAGAATGACTGCATCTTCCCATACAACTGTGGATAACTATGATGCCTTCCCTGTTGTTCCTGTCTTTTCTCCACCCCACCTCATCATTTTCACTTTGCCCTGTTGTCCTTCAGACCTATGCTTTTGGAATCCTTGTGTGGTCAGTCTGCCTTCTCTTAGTCTCATTCCTGTTTGCCAGCCATCAAAGGCCTGTGTGTTTGTAACAGGTGGATCCTGGAGTTTGGCTCCTTGCAGAGACTATCTAATGGCCTCGTTTGTTGATTTGCTGCTGGAGGCATGGCTGTCCCAAAGATTAACTGGGTTCAAATCTTTTCTACTTCCAACGCTTAGTCACAAAACAGTGCTTGCTTGCTTGCTTCCTTCCTTCCTTCCTCCTTCCTTTCTTATTCCCTCCGTCCCTCCTTTCCTCTCTCCCTCCTCCCCTCTCTCGTTTTCGTTTTTGCTTCCTTGCTTTCTTTTTCTTTCTTCATCTTTCTCTCTTTTTTTCCCTATGTGCTTACTAAATGGGTGGCATGAAGTGGAACAGTTAATAAAATGCCTCTTCCCTATGGAGGTCCAGCATCTATGTCTGCACAGCTGTGCACTGCACAGCACCAGAAGAGCAATTCACATAGATCCTGATGTGAAGTGTCCCTAGAGTTGTGGACTATGATATTTATGTTTGGAGGCTGTTGGAGGAGCTTCTACTACCTTTTAATTATGTGAAAGCATGTCTAGAAAATTCAGACCTTTTACATTCTCACATTTTCATAACGTGCAAAGGATCCAATGATAAACTACCTTACTAGTATTTGCCTTTCCAAGGTGGCATATCCTTATTCCACATTTAAATCCTTAACAATAGAATGTAAGGACTGAAAAAGTAATGGAGATCCTCTGGTATATGCTCCTTACTTTATAAATAAAGGCATTGCTGTAAATTGCAGTGAATATTATTTTTTAAGTTATAAAATCACAATGCCTAAGACCAAAGTACTTATTTTTCAGTGGGGTGTTATGTCACTACATGAAATGTAGATTTCTAGACCATTTTGAAATATTAAAATAAAACCTATAAGGCATGAATAAAACTATTTCTCTTTAAAATAAGAAACAACGTAGATGTGATGGAGTCCCCATAATTATAGTGGCAGTTTAATATGAAAAATGTGTTCTTAAGTTATTTTATAATGGACTAACACTGAACCTAGATTCTCTACAATTTCTAACTGTTAAAAACTGACCCTAATTTTGACTAGATACTTCATTAATATTCATTTGTGTATAATTGCCTTAATTTCAGTGATAATGACTTCAGCTACCAACTGTTTGATTGATGGGTCTTGCATCTTCTCTGGGAAGAAGCTAAGATATAAAAATCACACCATTCATGCATGTCTGGTATTTTTAGCTGCCTTTAATTACTAACCAGCTAAATAAGCATGCAAACCATGCTGTGATTGATAGGATCTCTTGGTTGAAGTGATTTTTTTTTTCTCAGAATTTGGAAGATGCTTGAATCAATTGAGTACTAAAAATAACCACTGAAAACTGAATCTTCCAGAATCAGGATGCTCTTGAATAAAAGCATCTAACAAGAAGGAAGGATTAACCTGTAGCCTTTAAGACATTCTGATTGGAGAAAGAAGCAACAGAAAGTTCTCATTGAGTGCAGCAGTATGAAAAGAAAAAAAACTGTAATACTCCAAATCTTTATTTACTGAAGACATGCTAAGTAGCAACATGCCAGAAACAAAAGGAGACATGAACTTCAGGTCAGTGGGGGCAAAGAAAAGAACAAGACAGAGAACACAAAATATGCAACTGAGCCCGATGACCTAAGGCTGAGAAAAACACATTTTAGCTCAGAGCTGTGTCTGCTTTGGGAGGATGATAGCATTTCTTATATCATACAATGCTGGTGAGTAAAATTTCGAGGGAGGAGTTCCACAGAGAGATATTTGAAAATATCAACTATGTGAAAACAAAAATGCTTTCAAACCAAGCACATTGTAATAATAATAAAGCAAAATGCAACAACAACCAAAAAAAATGCACTAGAAATCTGGAAGAGGCTGCTCTAGTCAAGAATCAACTTAGCTAAGAAGTGTTTCTAGATACTTTCTTTGTTAATAATAAACAGTATTATCCTAAAGAAACATGATAATTAGAATGCTGCCACTCTCTGAAAGTGTTCTATTCTGTTGGATATCTTGCATTGGATAGGCAGAAGTTGAATTTTGGCACCCCCTGTATTCCTTTATGTTCTCTCTCTCTCTACTGTCTGACCCTTGTTTATCAAGGGGAAAGCATGCTCTCACTTCTTTTTCTTGGCTGAAGTCCTAGACTCCAGTGGCATATCCAAGTCCAAAATCTCTAAAATAACCCACAAACCGTAATATTCTTTCCTCCAGCCATTCAAAACTCTGTCTACATGGTGCTTTTGAAAGAGTTAGGAGGAAAGCAAGCTGATGATTTAAATTCACACTCTTGCTTTTCTTTCTTCTTCAACAATATCTAGACTTTTAAAGAAAATATTTTATAATACCTATGAATCTGTAACGGCTGAATTTAGGAGACATAAAAGGCAAGACAAAGAAAACTATTTGGAATGATTCTTTTCTTAAATACGTCATCCAAGTGATTTAATCAGATAACGTAGGGAAGGAGAATCAACAGGGAGAGGAGAAGATAGCTCTGCTTGATACATCGATCTCCATTTTATATGTATCAATTGTTTATTTGTACAAGGATGTGGACATTTGTTAGCTTTTGGGGGGTCCTCTCTAAAGGCTGTTAGGAAAACACAATGACTAGGTAGTAAAGGTGTCATTGGTCTTCCCAGTAAGTAGTTTCCAGCCCAATGGCAAATAATGACTGTCTTCTCATCTTTGATCCTGTAAAAGTGGGAATACATGACTGTCTTCCTCCTTGCCTCAGAGAAACTATGAGATATAAGTATGATTTTGTTTTTCTGTTTTTGGTAGGGAAAAAAGGGGATTAAAAAAAGAAGCAAAACAAACAGCAGAAGTAAAACTGTATTTATGATAATCTGCAGTGTATGGCTTTCAAGGCTTGGTTCCAAGGAAATTGACCCAGTGAAATAGGCTCAGGCACTGCTCACTTTGCACACAGCATAACGCGTTCTCCCAGAGACCGCTCGACAGTGGCTTTATTTATCAGACACTTTCACTGACTCCCTGCTCCTTCAACCGTGTGTCTTTCTTCTGTGTAGTAAAAAGAACCCCATTTTCTTCTTTCTCTGTAACATATACTAGAAAACAAACAAAAACAAAAACAAATGATGAGATGTTGCATTTTAGAGAGTCTGAGGCCATGTGGAAAAGAAGGAAAGCTGCGATTATGATAACATATGGAGGAAAGTGAGTTGCTAATGCACTTGGTTTCTTTTATTTATATTCCTTCTTCTGTTCCAAATAGTGTTACTGGGCTGTGAGCACCTGATGACACCCTTACACTGTGCCACGGTGTGATTTTCCTGGAATCAAAGCTGGATTATGCCAGTATTTTCAAGTCTCAAATAAAAATGAGAAAGTAAATCCCACAGCCAGGATCTCTTGTCTACATTAGCTCAGAGCTGGTTAAGTCAGGAATCTTCTAGCCTGGTAGCACTAAAATGGATAGAGGGTGGCCACTCATTTCAGGGTGTGCTTCCTTCCCTAGTTCTTTTGCTTATGCATGACCATCACTATCATCTGCCTCTTTGGTAGGTCACTAGTAAGCACTAACCCATGATTGCAGTGACTCTCAGAACTAGGAAAGGCAGACCACACAACACTTTTCTGTTCTTTAGGTAATGATTATGTTGAAAATAAGTGCAGTAGAGGTTAGGGAGAAGAAAGCAAATAATATAAAAATTGCTCAATAAATATTTGTAGAACAAAAGAATGAATAGATATGAGCTGAAGGTCTTATTAGAGGTGGGAGAATGGTATTTGCTAAGCAGAGAAAAGTGAAGGGGACTACAGGAGAAGAAATAAGAAAAGCCACTTCATTGGCCAGATTCTGTGCTAAATACTTGCATACATCATTTCATTTAATCTTCAAAATATACCAATTAAGGTTAGTTTTATTATTCTCCTTTTACATGGGAAAATTAAGGCTTAAAAAAATTAAGTAAACTTTGTTCCATTCCATTGTTAGACAGCAACAGAGCCAAGATATTAATGCATTTATGTCTGACACCAGCTCTTGCTCTGTTCACTGTTCTGCTGTCTCACTGAAGACTGACTGAGCTCATTCACAGCCTTCGTTTTACACATTCTAAATTCTTTCTCCCCATCTTCATGTGTTGAAGTTCTTTCTGTCCATTTCGTCAGGTGCAGCTAAAATATCAACTCTTTATGAAGCCTTCCCTGATTCTCCAAATCAACATGAACTCTCTCTTTTCTAAACACATAGCACTTGTGATGTATTTCTGTCACATAGGCACAGGTGACCTAAGCCCCTCATATGGCACTAACTGTATTTTGCCTTGCATCACCAATTCAGCTATGGTCTTATATTCTACAGTAAACTGTAACTTCCCTGAGAAACGATGTTCTATTCATCTTTACCTCTATTTCCCTAGAATGTCTATGACTAAGTTGGATCAATTAGATTTTTTTTTAGTGGAATCAACATAGAGAATCTTTGGCAATTTCCTTATTGCTTACATTATTTGCTTATTAGATATCTGGATTTGAATATTTATAACTCATTTTTCTGCTTAAAGTACAGACTGTAAAATTATCTCAATTGGTCTATGTCCATAAATTTATGACAGTCTTGAGAAAACATGGAAACTATCACTTTAGAGAGACCCTTATATTTATAAAGCTAGTGAATCACCTGTGTCTGTTGGTGCCATATGACATGAGATAGGACAAGCAGCCTGAGGGTGTTTTTTAAACACTGTTTTGAATGAACAAATAGTTGTTGCAAGAGCTTCAAGAAAGCACAGATGATATATAGCTATATTAACTATAATATCCCCTCCTATTTAAATTCCATACTTTTATTCATATAATAGTATTTAGTCACAGTTATCTGAGTAGAAAGAAGACAAAAGAAGACTTACTTTTCAGGGGTAAGAGAAGGTCATCTTGATTGAAGTGTTTAAGTCTTCTTTGTCCTCTTCCAATCTCAGTTATGGAGCATAATAAATTACCTTTCTGTCCCCACGAGAATTATTAACATAGACATACTATTACCCCCTGTAGCTTCTTAATACACAAAAAAGCTAAACAGGTGTTTCACTCTCTCACACACTATATTACCATGGGGGAAAATGTTCACATGAAGTATGTCCTCCTATAGAAGATGGAAGGAGTCTTGGAAAACCATATTTATTCTCCATGGCAGGCCATTGTCTACCTTTGGCCTAGGGAGCATGTGTGGAAGTTTAATTGAGGAATATGTGTCTCAGTTATTGAAGTTACACCCAGTGTAATGAAGAAAGTGGTGACTCCTCTAGTCAGTCAGCTCATATAAATTCAGCCTTATATATCCTGGGGCAATTGAAGTTATATTTAGGACCCTCTCATGAACACCAAGACAATAGACTATTTCCAGAACCTGAGATATGTCCAGCTCCTTGGGTTATTGTCCAAAGATTTTGTCATCTCCAAAATTTAAAATCTTACCTATGCCCAGCTAATTGCAATATTCGTTTTTGATCACTTGTCTTCAGAGAGAACCACTCTACTGCATTCCTGACCTGCAAACTTTTTGTTATGAAGTTAGTCATTTCTAAACTTCCATCATCCTTCATTTGTCTTTCCTAAAATGTTTATCACTTTCTACTTTCAGTTATAGTTATTTGTGTTCACGGCTTAGCTTCTTTTTGTAGACAGCAATAACAGGATATGTTCTGAGTCAGCTTTATGTCCTTCATAGTTGCTCAAAATATGTTAAAAAGAATGAAGAAAAATGAAAAAAGAAGGAAAAGGAGAAGATGAAAGAAAAGATGGCCAAATGAAGTCTTTCTAAATATTCTTTTCACTGGGCTTATTTGCCCTAGAAACAAGACACATAAAAATATAGGTGTTTTAAGTCAGGTATCCTGAATTCATATTCCAATGCTGTTCATTACTAGCTGTGTGATCTTGGGAAATTGTACTTAATCTTGTTGAAAAATAGATTTCTTCCTAGAAAAGTGGGTTCAAGGAATACTAAGTTGTGGGGTTATTTAAAGATTATAAGATTCTGGTGCCTTACGAAGCATGCAGGATAGATGGTTTTCAGGCAATGATGGTAACTGTATTGCCTTAACCCTTTCTCAATGGACCTGCTATCTATCAAACCCACAAACTGATTTCATTTATTCTTTCTCTAAAGCACACTTCCCTGATGGAAAGACCTTTCCCAGCTCCCATTGCTAAGAAATCAAGATCATACATATTTGTATTAGAATACACATGATAAATGAAGTAAGCTTCACAATAATACTAAAGCCTCATTTTGCTTTGAATGTCACATTTTAGAGCATGTGATAATTAGACTCTGATGTGAACTTTTATTTTATTTGTATTTGTATTTTTTTTTTTTTTGTAAAAGGAAGGAGGAATATGCCAGCTGGCTCATTGGGTTGTGCTACTTCTAAAGAATTATGATGATCTTTTTGTAAGGATAGGCTCTTACCTCCTTCCTAAAAGCAAAGTGATTCACTTGTCTCTCTGCTCCTCTCATGCTTTTACCCGTAATGTAAGCTGTGAATAGAGCGGCCTTTCAGTTTCTCCAATATATACTTTTTCTCAAGTGGCTTTATCAGGAGCCACTCACAGAAAATAATATAAAATCCCAGTGAAAATTGGCTTTCATAACAGGGAAAAGTGTGGCCTCAAATAACAAGAAATCCAGACGCAGTAGTAGACTCTGTACATAGCGGGTCATGGACTTGGCTCTGAATCTCTGTGTTACCTGGTAATTTTCCCAAGTTCTGACCTCAGATTTGGGTAGTATTGTGACTGCTGCAATTTCAAGTATCATATCTGGTTTTAATTACATTGCGGGTATAGGTAGGTACAAAAGCGTCTCATCTGATTGTAATAATATCCAGTGGGAGGATGGAACTCTTTCTATATCTTCCAAGAAGGCCTTTGGAGTCTTAACTTCAAATTTCATTGACGAGAGTCATGTCATATGCTCATTCCAAGCACATCCCTGATGAGGGGAATGAGATGACCATGATTAACATAGACCACTCAGGCCTGTGCACCTGAGGCACATGGCATGTGAACCACAGATAGATATCAGAAGCAAAAGTTTTCTGTTACAAAGGACAAAAGATATGAAAGAATATGGGGCAAGCAACTAACAGAATGGCTGTAGTGGATTTTTGAATATCAAAATGACTTTTTACGACTCTGAAATGAGAGTCATCATCTTTTGATGATATAGTGGGAAAATCAATGTGGAATTCCACGTCGTTTTCATGCATAAGCAAATCATGGGTTGGTTTAGTTTTGGTTTGGTTTTGTTAGGATAAAATCAGGAATATTTTGTTGCAAATATAGATATTTTTCCACTTTGAAAACAGATCTTGGGCCACTTTACCTGACCTAATAGATATGGGTGAGTGGAAAAAAAATTATAAAGTCAAGTCAGTAGTTTTTTGATGTTTAGCTATCTTTAAAATCTACCTCAATGGCAATTTTGAACTTTGGATGATTTTCGGGGTTTCTTTTTACCTGGAAAGACAAATGCATGGCAGAGCAAGAGTTGTCTTGTTTTATTTCTCCCTATCTGCTTTCTTTTTGCATTTACATGTGTATTTCTCATTTTTGTTTTCGCTCCATGGGATTTGAACACCCTCCTTATTTGAAGTCATTCCCTATTATGGACTGAATATTTTCATTTCCCTAAATGTATATGCTAAAGCCCTAACCTCCCATGTGATTAATATTTGGAGATGGGGCCTCTAAGAAAGTAATCAAGGTTAAATAAAGCCATAAGGGCAGGACCCTGATCTCATGAGATTAATGCCATTATAAGAAGAGACCTCAGAGAGTTCATTCTCTATATCCTCCACACATAGGCACCAAGGAAAGGTCTTGTGCTGACACAGGGAGAAAGCTGTCATTTACAAGCTGGGAGGAGACCTTCACCAGAAACTGAATTTGCTACCACCTGGATCATGAACTTTTACTCTCCAAAACGGTGAGAAAATAAATTTTTGTTCTTTAAGGTACCTAGTTAATAGTATTTTCTTATGATAGCCTGAGCAGACTAATACATTCCATAAAGTGGAATTCTTGTGGGAGGCAGTGACTCTTTCTTATTAAAGAAGGCTAAAAAGGCCCATCAGTCAGCCAACCCAGGAAAATGTGTGGTCTGGTCTGGGATCAGGTAAGTTAATGCTCCTGCCCAGGACTGGAAGAAGCAATGGAAATATCCAAATGCAGTTAAGGAATTAGCCACAGGACAGTAGGAGTGTTGAGATTCTAACAAATGAGTTATCAGGGGCATGACCTAAGCTGTCCACTGTCACCTTGTTTTGCTTGATTCTTGCTTGTTTTCTGAGTCTGGTTCTCCAGACTTTTGTTTGTGTGTTGTCTCATACCTTTTGCTACTTAAATGAGCCAGATTTTGTTTGTGTGTTTGCATGCGTGAATACTTTCTAATATGCCTCTGTTCATAAATAAGAGGCTGGCGGGTATTTAGAACCAAAAGTTAATGATCACATGACTACTCCTTTCACACTCTAAGGATCTCAAGAATCAAGACTATTTTTTAGCCACACATTCTCGGTCTCCCAGATTTGCTCCAAACCTTTCCCTGACTCTGGAGCCTTTTATTCATCAAAAAGAAGTTCATAGCCGTGTGGCATGAGGGATAAGATTACGGTCCAAGAAAATAGTTATCTTGGATCAAAAATTTCTTTTAAGGCTATTCTCATTCTGGAAAAAAAGAAAAGATTAAAAGCCCCAGTTATTTTGTGACTTTAGCAATTGTGTTCAGAAATCTGTTCTTGGCAAGAGAGGCAAGCCTATCTGCTGGAGGGAAACAGGAGGCCTGCTGGCTTTGCAGAAGGCAATGGTGTTTTGGTTCCTGTTGAAATTTGTGTGTTTTGTTTGTATACAAAGCAACATTCGTATAAAATATGCTCTTCATCATTACTTTATTCTGAAATGGAAATAACTGAAAAAATGTTTTTTGACATTCTCCACCAGGGTGTACACCATTTGTTACAACTGCAGAACTTGCATTGGCACATCATTATGACTCAGGGACCATAGTTTACATTAAGGCTCACTCTTTTGTTGTTGTAGTTGTTGAAACAAAATCTCACTGTGTCATCCAGGCTGGAGTGCAGTGGCATGATCACAGCTCACTGCAGCCTTGACTTCCTGGGCTCAAGTGGTCCTCCCACCTTAGCCTCCCATGTGGCTGGGGCCATAGGTGCTTGCCACCATGCTCAGCATTTTGTGTGTGTGTGTGTGTGTGCAGATAGGGTCTCACTATGTTGCTCAGGCTTGTTTTGAACTCATGGGCTCAAGAGATCCTTCTGCCTTGTCCTCCCAAAGTGCTGGAGGCATGAGCCACAGCTCTTAGCCCTAGGGTTCACTCTTGATCTTTTTATTCTATTAAATTATTTTGCCTACAATTGCTAAATATTTTCTTCTTCAAAATCAAACAAACAACAAATCAAATCTTGTCTAGTGGAGACCACAAAAGAAATACCTTCAGCATGTGAAGTTTCATTCAGTAAAAATGTATTGAGTGCCACCTGTATATAATTTCCTGTAACATTGTTCTTCATAAAACTGGCCGGGGGTGGAGGTCAGGAGCAGCTCTGATTTGTAGTCTTTGCAATGTCCATGGTGTAAATACTACACTTTCACCACCATGGCTGATCTCAAGCTACCAGAGTGATTTCACTGAACCTGGAACTGGAAAGGGTACAATCTCCAGCACTAGAATTCCAGTATAGAGAGTAAAAGAAATCACATTCAGCTGGTAGTAGCAATGAAGATGTCAAAGAGGACTAGTTCTGGGAAGGCTAAGATTAGGTAAAGATTCTATATGAAAGGAGATAGAAGATGGTGGTGTGCATCAGAGAACGGCGGGAACAGAAGGTGGGTAGAAGGGAGCAGAGGGCTATAATGGAGGACAGTTGAAAAAGGATATGTTGGGAGAATGAGTGTAATAAGGATGGAAGGAAGCAGCACACCAACAAGGAGAAAAATGCTGAGTTGGTGTTTGACATATGGATCTTCTCTTGTATTAAGGCATGCAGGGCTATCATCACATAAAAACTAGCAGCCACACAGGTCACATTTCTTGGGAAGGACACTAAGTAAACCAGTGGCAAAGGCATTCAGCTTTCCAAAGATTATTCCATCAGCACTTGCCTATCGGTGCATTCCATGTCTCTGGGCTTGCATTAGGTTAAAGGTCTTTTGTATCTGTGCAAGGTACCAGGAAATAGGTACAAGAGCCACAAGGCAGTATCCTTGAGCCTGCACTGTGACTCCAGAATGTGGATATCACCAGAGGGGTTTTGTTCGAGAAAAACAGCTTTAAATGATCTATGTTTCTTAGTCATTTTGGGTCTAGCCGGGCAGCCAGACTCCCTGCAATGCCAGGCCAGTAATTGTGTGGGCTCAGAATATCAAGAAAGCAGACATTTATCAACAAGGTGCATTCTGAGACATAGAACTCCCTGAGCAGGGGAGAGGCTGTGCTTCCAGGCTCAGTTATCCCTTCTGTTTTGGAGACATATCTTTATCAAGGAAGAGCAGGATAATGATGATGCTTTCATGCTCTCTATGGTGCCCAAGGCCCGTGAGGAGGCATTCAGCTTCTTCATTTTTCCTGCTTGACTGTGCCTGAATATACGAGAAGCTTCAGGATGCATGGCATGTTTGCTACTTCTTTTCTCTTCCTTCCCGCTCTCATGCTGCACTGATGTTAGGCTGATTCCTTGTCATCATAAAATTAGATGCTGTCTTTGAATCAGTGTTTCTTTTCAGCTTCCTTGGAAGGGATATCTCCATCTGCCATGTCCTCAGGTGATCTCATAGGAAGGAACTAAGGTCCAACGAAATTCATTTGCCCAGGTTCAAAAAGCAGAATTAGGTTCTATTGATCATCTTTAAAAGCTCCACCCAAGAAGGGTCATAACTCATAATAACTCATTATACAGAGCCTAGGGGATACCACCTGCAAGACATGGAGAAGAACTGGCCAAGAGAGGGCCCAGGTGAAAGCAGAGTAACAGCTCATAATAGAAGCAAGTGTCCATAAAACTGAGCTGTCTTCCTTTGCAGGCACCAAGCCTATTTTTAAACATAGACTAAAAACACAAACAATGAAGCAAATCTGTTTGATGTCCATTTATGACTGACAGATATACTGCTTCCAGCATACCAGGGTCCCTTTCTTATTTTTGTTCCCCTGTGGAGGAGGAGGAGGACCTCAGCATTCTATGCCTTGTCTCCTTAGCTTTTACAATAGCTGTTGATTTGTTTCGGTGACAGAATCCTGCTAGCTCCAGATCTAGTTACTGGAGCATAAACTAAACTCAGAGTAGGAGATGACCATGACCAATGAACTCTCATTCTACTGCTTGTGTCTATGAAGGAAAGACCACTTGACCTTCTGTAACAATAGCCCTATCTCCTCAGTTATATTCACTTATCACTGAACACAGGTTCTTCCTACTTAAAACTCTGGGAACACTCCATTCCCTCACCTGGTAGCTTCAGTTGCAGTCAGGAATGAGATATCTGGTCTCCCATACTGAGTCCCTGTGAGCTGATTCTTCAGAATGGAATCCTACTTCTATCATGGTACTACATTGCTCTGAAGTTTTCTGCTTCCATGTCTGTCTCTTCTTTACAGGCAGGGAATGTGGTCCATTCATTTCTGTATACCTGTCACCAAGCACAGGGTGTGGCAGACATTAGGAGACTTAATAAGTGGTTAGATTCCATTGCCACAAACTAGCTAGAGAAAAAAATAATATATGTCAGGTTAAGGCTCTGCCTTGCAGTGTCCTCCTTGCTGGTCTTTCAGTCCTGGGCAGAAAAGAGCAATAATGAATTAAAAGCCCAACACCTCCTATCAGAGATCAGCTAACAGAAATCCCTATGCAGATCAATAAGTCTATTCTCTGACATTTGTTCTCCCTGTGGCCTGGATAGCCTTCTTTTGTCTTTGTTTACTGGGAGATTTTCTCTGTTTACCTGCCTCATATTCAGACCTATAGAAACTTTGGGTCCTGATGCCTATCAATAGCTAGCTGGTTCTATCCCTAGCCTAGCCCAAGCATAAGCTCGGGAAAATCTGGATTTCCAGACTAAATACAGGAAGAAACATGTGCTGTTTGTCTGCTATTTGTCATTTTTGGTCCAGTCTAGCATCCTGTTTTCAAAGGGCTTTACGAAGCCCTATGTACCTCATTCTTCTCCTGTGCAGTATAAATAGGGAATAGGCTTCAGGGCTTACCAAGTGCTTCGAGACAGTGTTGTGTAGCAGAGGGAAAAATACTTTGAACATGGAAGATCTGAAAACTTTTGAATATTGGCTTCATCTTTCCCCCAATTAGCTGAGCAATTGAAGAGTCACTTAACCCTCTCAGTCTGAGTTTCTTCATCTTTATATGCAAGTAGTTGCATTAGATGATTTTTATGGTATTCTGTAGTTCCACATTTTATAAGCCTTAGATTTTAGCTCTTCTTCCATTATCAATACAATTAGGTTATTTGGATTTAAATCAGCCCATCCTGACCTATCCTAGGACACATGTCTTCGTGCCGGTAACTATTTTTTTCAAGACTATGAAACTAATATCTTCTCTGAACTACAGATACTGGCATCTTAGGGTCATGAGTATAGATTTGTTAGATACTCCACCAAGATACAATGTGGTATCCGTGCCCAAACCAGCCATTATTGTAGTCTAAAAGAAATAATTGAGCAATGCACATTTGTGGTGGCCAAGCAGAAGAGAAACCAGAACTTTTGTGCACACTTTAGATAGTGCTGACTTACGTGCCAGTAAATAAAGTTGCTCTTTACACTGGGCTCCCAATCTCAAGCGCTATTTTTAATTCACAGAGTTAAATCCAGCTGAGTTTGAAATCTGTTGCCACAAGTCACCAGAGGGACTGTATATCTTTTCTTTTCAGAGAAGAAGCCAAGCACAGCAGTTCAATTAAACTAGCACTAAGTCCTGCACTCCAAAGACTGAAGGGCCTCAGGGAAAGGCATCAAGGGGAGAGTTATATGCTACCGTTCACCCCTCTTGGCTAGAAAAAGCATGGTGTTTGTGACCAGAAAAATTGAAACAGAATGAGATTCAAGATGGCAGCCACAGCCTCCTTTTCTATTAACCTCCAGGCTGGAGTGCTCTGTAGAAGGAAGGGTGACCAAGATAAATTACCTCTTGATTCTTATTGCATTGTTTCACTAATGTAAGAAGGCTATCTGAGATGTATTCAGTTCCCACCAAAAAAATGCCTAAGATTGTAAAACTTATTAGGACAGAAGCTCTTAGATCAGCCAAGCAAACCGAGTATCTGGAAAAAAAAAAAAAAACAAACCCTAAAACACACTTCCAGGATTTCAGAATAAATGAGAGATGAAATGGTAGAACTGCTATGATAATTATTGGCTCTCGAATTAATGGTAATAATTACCTTAGCAAATTGCCATGTAACTGTTCAGTGAACAAGTTCATAATCTAATCCTACATTGTTTTTTTAACCAGTTTCTCTCTATTTTTATGCTTCGAGGCTGAAGCTTCTTGCTTTAGAATAATTCTTTCTTTAATCCCTGCTAACCTAAGCCCTTGCTATACATAATGAGAGTAAAATAGTCGAAAATTATTTAATGAATGTTAATCCTATGTCCTGCACAAAAGGATCCTGGACATATCGTCCAGACAGACCTATCCCCAGAGTGTTGTGAGGGCTCCTGCTCTTTAAAGAATTAATTGTCATCTCTGGGCCCAATTCTGGCCTTCCAGGAGCCCAGAGAAGGTGGCTGATATGAAGCATAGCTGTTTCACTTCACTTCATGTAACAAGGACTAAGTGGCTTTTCTTCTCAGCCCCAGCTGCAGCCTCCAGTTAGAGGAGATTTTTTTCTAATATAAAAGTAGAATTATTGACTTTATTCTCCCCTGAACCCTTTATGATTTCTTATGCTTTTGTTGGAATTATTCTTTTGGTTTTGATATATGAGTCCAAAAGTTTTCAGATATTTTTAAAAAAATTATTGCTGTTTTTTATTTGCAGTTGTCATCATTGTGGTTTTAAGTCAATCTTTAGGTTACTTATTTAATCATCTGATCGTTTAAGAAAAATTTGCCAAGCTTAAACTGAGTATCTAGTTTTATACTCAAGCAGGATATTAAAATATATTCTATAAAATGTTACAACTTAGCGTGAGCAAAAAGACATATGGCTCAAACTGGTGATTGCTAAGTGAAACAGCGAAGTGCCAAATGTGGGAGAAATTTCTGTAGGTTTGGATACTAAGGAGAAGCCCAATGCTGAGGTGAGACTTGAGTTTGTCTTGGAATAATTTTTCATGGAACAATTGATGAATAAATGGAAGAATGAACAAATACACACTACCTTAAATATTGAAAGACAAGAACCAAGAGTTAACTCTCAGAGGGAGCCTGCTCCAATGTTACTGATAGTATACAAGTGGAACTAAATTTCCATTTACAAATATACATGGCTGTGTCTGAAGGGGTTTGAGGAATGTGTTTATGATTATAAGTACAGATAGTTGAGAAGTCAAATAGCATGGTGCTTGGCACACTGTTAATCAATAAATAGCTGTTGAATTAGTTGATGTATCAGGTAATATGGAATGGTTAAATGCATGGACTTTGGGATCAGAGATATTATACTTTGGAGTGCTTGCTCTGCTATTGTTGGGAATTTGAGAGTTATCCAACCTGGAAAATTCAACTTTCTCACTGGTGGAATAGATGGAGTTATTGTAATTATACCTATTAAATAAGATTTTTGTGAGGTACAAGTGGGCTAATGTAATATAAAATGCTTGGGAAGTTGCTTGGACATTGTAAGCACCCAATAAATACAAGTTACTAATATTATGCTATTTACTATTGTTATTATTATATACTTACAAGAGGTAAATATGTATTGTTATTATTATATACTTTCAAGCGGTAAGTATGCATGTATGTTGGTGAATGTATGTAAAGGGTTGTTGGAAGAGGTGTATAAATGGGGTCGTATGGAAATGAGTATGCATGGATAGAGAGGCTTAGGGGTGAAGTAGGTGGTAGTATCAGTCAGGACAGAGGGCACAAGCTGGTACCTCTTCACATTGAAATGCTCAGAAGCCCTTAGTAATACCGGCTTTGGGGAAGGGCTTCTTAATGTTAAGCAACAATAATGGCACTCAGTTTGGGCTTACCAGTGCATCAATATCCTGACTACCTCTTTTCCCAACAATTAACACCTGAGAACAGCCCTCACTGAATTTACCCCGTTAATTGTTCACAGGATGGGATCAGGAATTAAGGCATTATTTTCCTCTAAGTCATTTCAATTTCTCAAAAGTGTTATAAAGAGGAACAGTTATTCTGGCAAATGCCATTTTATCCATATTTGCTAGATAACCTTAGACTTGCAGGTCCTTTAGACAGCTGTAAACTTCTTGTACTATAATTCCAAACAAGTTTCTTATCTTTTTAACACAAGAGAACCCTCCGCTGAAAATTAATTTAGGGAAATTGAAAGTCCTTTTTCTGTGTTCACCTGTTTGTAAATGATAAGGACCATAAACAACAGTTTTAATAATTCGGTCCTTTGCCCAGGAGCAGCAGTTTATGATCCCAACCACCACCTCATACCCACATGAGCCGATCCTCCATTTCAAGCCAACACTCACTTTCTGTGATGAAATGCAAGGGCTCATCCCAATTTAATACATGGCTTCCTTCATATGGAACATGAGAAGCAGGCTGTCTGCTAGAGACCGGGCTGGGAGTGTTTCTTTTGCCACCAGACTGCAGGGGAGAAAATTAAATGGGGAAAGAATTTGAGCTTATTTTTGTTTTCTAAAACAATTTATTTATTTTTTTTTAAAAAAACCTCATTTCATGGGGAAGCTATGGCTACAGGAATGTGAGATGAAATGAACAGTAGCAAAAGAACCAAGATTAATAGCACTAGAAGGACATATTAACACCGAACATAAGTGAAACTTGAATGATGAAATAAATGTATAACTTAAATGTATAAGTCACTTAGGCAGAACAATTACTGTTTTATGGAACAAAAAGTACATTCCTTTGTAAAAATGAAGACCACACAAATCAGTCTTTTACTAATGCACAGGTGGAAGCTCCTACACATTACATTTTCACTGAAGGCTGGAACGTTCTGAAAGCAATATCTGGGTATGAACTCATTTTATCCATCTTTTCTCCCCTCCACTTTCTCTGTTTCAGGATCTTTCAAGCAAATTATGTGATAATTTCTGTGCCTTGATCATGCTGGCCCCTCCATCCCTGCAGCTTACCCAGTCACCATCTACGATGGAACAGGCTGGTCTCTGTAAGGATCTTCTCCCTATGGCTGATTAGAGCACTGTTACACCTTTGAGGGGGATTACATCATGCTTGATTTCCAAATTAGAAAATAAAAATAACCTACATTGAAATAAGTTTATTTTAAAAAGTAATGGAAGGGGGCAGTCTCTCATGGAATACTCTAAGCAAATCTAAAAGTTCTCTCTGAGCTCAGAAACAGGCATGGAACTACAAGAGATGTCCATTGATTAAATTCACCATTGATGAAACAACCATTCCCTAATTTCTCTACTAAAGTTCTCTAAATCAGAATGTCTATCCTTGAAAGAAAATCATCCCACCAAAATTATGTCTCCATCATTTTTATATAAAAATGATCTTCTGAGAATCCATCAATATAATTTATATTAACAAAAATAAAAATCATATAATCATCTCAATAGATACAAAAAATTTTAAAAAGTTAAACATTCATTCAGGACAAAAAATTAAGAATACTGTAAACAGAAGGGAAATTCTTTTGAGAACGCACCCAGTAATGCAATATTTTCAAGTAACAAATCTGCACATGTACCCAACGCATCTAAAATAAAAGTTGAAATTTTTAAAAAAGGGAATTCTATGAACTGATTTAGATAAAGTACCCAAAATCCATAGCTAACATTGTGCATAATATGAAAGAATAAGTGCTTCATCCCCTAATGCTTCATCCCCTAGTGCTTCATCCCCTAATGCCAGAATGATTTTCTCTGTCACTAATCCTATTCAACATTTTACTGGAAGACCTAGCCAGTGCAATCAATAAAGAAAAATAAGTAAAAGACATACAAATATCCACAGAAAATATAATTGTCTTCAGATAAAAATCCAAATAGTCCACAAAAGTATCTACTTGAACTAATATATGAGTCTGGCAAGATTACATCATAACATAAAACAATCCATTTTATTTTTATATATGAGCAACAAGCAAATGGAATTCATTTAAAAATACCACTTATAGTTGCACCAAAAAATAAAGTAGGTATAAATCTAACAAAATATGTGAAGAATCTATATACTAAAAACTACAAAATAATGATGAAAGATGATCTTTTAAAAAAATTCTTTGTAAAAGCTTTAAAAATTTTGACTAGTTATATGGTTTTGAGTAAAGTTACTGACTTTTCCTTGACCTTGAAAGCTAAACTATTAAACAAAGTCTCCTGCAATGCTATGGATACACAACTGCTTCTGTGCAATGTCAGTAAAAGCTGATAATGGTGCTTAACACTTATTGGACGCTTAATATATGGCAGGCACTATACTAAGTTGTTAACATTCAATATCAAATTCAATCATTGCAATAACTATGGGAGGTTGATGTTATTATTATTCCCAAATTACAGATTAAAAAACTGAGGCTAAGTGAAGTTTAATAATTTGCCAAAAATTACACAGTACGTATCAGAACTAGGAATCAAGTCCATATGTTTCTGGTCCTACATGCCAAGCTCTTACTGCACACCATTTTCATGGTGAGGCAGGCTGGCAGGAGAAGGAATAGGGCCTTTTAAAGCACATGCAGAAGGAAGTGCTCCTTCTGCCACTTTGGGAATCATTGGATTTAAAGTCAATTATCATTCTTCTTCCTCTTGGCACACTGGTTTGGGACCATTATCAACTTCTATATTTTGTGTCTGGAGGGGATGTTATGGTCTTCATGTGTGCCTTCTTTGTGTGGCCTTCATCTTCTTTTCTCCATCAAGTGTGTCTCACTCACTGATTATTTCACATTCTCCCAAACTGCCTTCCTCTCAGACCTTTAAGGTTTAAAGGAGCTGGAGTCAGCTCTTCTCTTAGCAACTGATTCTAAGTCTGGCATCTGGGGACTGAGCCTGCTGCCAAGATGGTAGTATCTGTGTGGCCAGCCAACCTTCCTTCCTATCACCCACCCCAAAGCTGCGCAAATCCCCTAGGGAGTAGCATGAGGCTGCTAAGCAGCACATATATCTCCTGTGGATGCTGCTGATCCCCACATTTATTGTACCTTGGTTGGTGTTTGTAGCCTATTTTCCAGCTTTGAAAAGTGAAGTGCATTGTATCTAGAAACTGACAAGTAAAGATTTTTATCCATTTCCTGTGTCCGGTGTGATAGCACAAGCACTGTGTTTTATGCTTAAAACACAGCCAGTTTTGTATCCAAATGCAAGCAAGTAGAAAGTGTGGGCCTAGGGAAGCTAGTTGATGAAGGTATCCTGGTAGGCAATTAAGAAAGGGACAAGATAATGCAGGAAAATTTTATTTCTCTCATTTTGCACAAGAATCAGTGCCTTTCCCTTCCAATATATCAGCTACTTCTGTCCCTGTGCCACAGTGGAATTTTTTTTTTTGAAATTTATGGGTGCACATTGGCTATGTATCATTGCTCTTATTTAATTTCCTGGCAAACACAAGTACATCCACATTCCCCTCTAAGCTGCACCTTGCTGCAATCAACACATCGCAGAAACATATGCCTTCACCTGGAGGATAAGACGGGAAATAAACATTCTTCCAAGGAGAGGCAGCCGTCTTCAGAACCCTCTCTCTGGAGCAGAAAAATTGGATATACGACCTACTAGGCCTTCCAAAGTTTACACAGGGTCCAATGAAATTTTGGTGATTGGAGGGTTACTCAAAAAATAGTTTCTCTAGATATCATAATACATGCCAAATTCTCAGGAGACCAGATATGGTCTGGAAATTTAGCTACTTTCAACTGCAGCATATATTTGCCTCTTTACAAGTACATTCCAAATCTTCTCTCCTGCAGGGATTTCATGAGACTCGGGTTTTAGCATTGGTCCTAATGCTTTTATAGTGTCTGTGGAAACAGCCACTCTTCAGTAAGCAGAAGTGGCTAACTGTGGGGTAAGCAGCTGATGTAGTTTGGATATTTGTCCCTGCCCACATCTCATATTGAATTATAATCCCCAATGCTGGAGGTGGAGCATGGTGGGAGGTGTTTTTGTCATGGGGTGAATCCCTCATAACTTGTTTCTGTGTTTGTGATAGTGAGGTCTCACGAGATCTGGTTATTTAAAAGTGTATGACACGCCGCCTTCTCCCCTGCCTTGTTCCTGCTTTCACCAAGTGATGTGCCTGCTTCTGCTTCCCCTTCTACTGTGAGCCGAGTAAACCTATTTTCTTTATAAATTACCCAGTCTCAGGTATTTTCGTTTTTTTTTCTTTTCTTTTTTTTTTTTTTTTTTTTTTTTTTTTGAGACAGGGTTTGGCTCTGTCGCCCAGGCTGGAGTATAGTGGCACAGTCTTGGCTCACTGAAACATCTGCCTCCCAGGCTCAAGTCGTCCTCCTACCTCAGACTCCTGAGTAGCTGGGGACTACAGGAGCACACCACCATGGCCAGCTAAGTTTTGTATTTTTTCTAGAGACAGGGTCTCACTTTGTTGCCCAGACTGGTCTTGAACTCCTGAGCTCAAGTGATCCACCTGCCACAGCCTCCCAAAGTGCTGGGACTACAACCATGAGCTGCTGCCCTCAACCAGGTATTTCTTTATAGCAATGCAAGAATGGCCTAACATACACCTCCAACCCAAGTCTCTCTCATGCCAACCTCACACTATTTCTGACATTCTCATGGAAAATGATCTGAATGTTTATACCCATCCCCCCCAAAAAATTGTACGTTTGAATCCTAAACCCTAAGATGATGGCATTAAGAGGTGGGGCCTTTGTATGATTAAGTCATGAGAACAGAGCCTTGATGAATAAGATTGCTGCTTTTATGAAAGAGTCTCCAAAGAGTTTCCTTGTCTCTTCCATCTTGTGAGGACACACAGAAGACAGTGTCTATCAACCAGAAAAACGGCCCTCCCTAGAAACAAAATCTGCTGGCACCCTGATCTTGGATTTTCCAAGATTCCAGAACTGTGAGAAGTAATATTTTTTGTGTATAAGCTACCCAGTTTGTGGCATTTTGTAACCGCAGGCCAAATGGACCAACAAATCATGATATTCCACAGCTTTGCCTCTGGTTTTCAAGGTTACATGCTAGGACTTAGCACACTTGTTTTCTGAGAGTTGGGTACAATATACTACAAAGGCAATAATTAATGATGACAGATTTATGAAGCAATTATTTTTACCAAGGTATTTCTAAGCATTTAATGTGCACAATCACATTTAACCCACATAGCAACCTTATGTGTTAGATGCTTATAATGTTACATTATAAAGTTGAAGCAACTGAGTCTTGAAGAGATAAAATTATCTTACATGAGGTCATTAATTTATGAAGAAGCTGAGATGGGACTCAATCCTGGGTCTTTCTGACAAACCCTTGTGTTTAGTCAAATGATTGTACTACCTTTGTAGAAACTATCCCTTCCAGAGCACTAACTGTCTGTCCCAAATTAGACTTCTGGCATCTGACAGGATCAGAAGAAATGATATAGCCAATGGCAAGCTCCTCTGATAGGTAAGGTTAAAAGAAATTGTTTACCTGAACACTTTTTACCCTAACATGATTTGAACATCTCATGTGTCTCTCGGCTAGAGAGTTACATATAGAGGATCTAATCAGGTAAGAGAGTGAGATAGTAGTGTGTGCTGGGAAAAAGGGCACAGGCTGTGTCTGCATGGAGCTTGAATCTTGTCTTTTCCAGCTGTTCCCCATAAGTCATATCTGAAATGAGAGGAGAATGTACATATATATGAGCACCAAGTGGAACCTGGGGCAGGGGAAACTGTCCCGCAGGGCCTGAATGCTATGATCAAAATCTATGTTGAAGTTTAATTTCCAATGCAATGTTATTAAGAGGTGGGGACTTCACCAAGTGATTAAATCATGGGGGAGGAGCCTTCATGAATGCAATTAGTGTCCTTATAAAAGAGCTCCAGGGAACTAGCTAGTCCCTATTTGCCCTTCCATTTCCCCTCTGTTGGCACCTTGATCTTAGACTTCCAAGCCCCCAGAACTGTGAGAAATATATTTCCATTATTCATAAATTGCCCAGTCTAAGATATTTTGTTACTGCAGCAGGAACAAACTAAGAAAATGGGAAATATCATTGTTCTTAGGGGTGATGTTTAATATATTTGAGTGTGGATAGCACATTCCATAGGACAGATACTGTCCTTGGTGCTGAAGAAGGGTCCTAAAAGTTCCCTGCATCCTTCCTGATGAGGGATGCCACAGTCCAAGCAGACATAGAGACTTCAAGGTAGAGTATGCGATTATCCTTCAGGCTTCAGTCTGGGATCCAGTGGGCTCCTGACATGACCTTTCTCCCCTCACCCCCTACAAACTGGCCTTGTCCCCATGAGTCCATTGCCTGCTGAGTGTTGGACTTCCTTTCTGGGTCTGTAATCTGTCCTCATTCAAGTCTAGTGGGGTCCTGACCCTATGAGAAATGGCCCTTGCTGGCCTAATCTCAGCAATCCCTGGATAATAAAAAGAATTATAAATAAATAAATACATAAATAACTAAATTAAATTGAGGTTGTACCTATACCGATTAACCTAAATGGCTCAAGTCTTGGCTCTACCACTTTCTAGTTAGGTATCTTCAGGCAAGTTACATTTTTTTTTTCTTTCTTACATGCCATACTACTCCACTTTTGCAATGAGCTGTGGTTTGGGAAATAGCATTTTGTTTTTATCATGTACCTATGATAGTCACATATTAATAACTATTCCCTGGGAATCAACCACTCCAATCTAGTTACAGTAGAAACAAATGGTTTATGAACTGCTAACTTTTTCCCTTGAATGTTCATTCATCTATAAAAAGATGCCTGCCCTCCGAGATTTTCTCCCAGCATTGCCGTCTTCAGGAAGTCTCCCTAACAACAACCTACACCCACAGCTCTGCCATATCAGACAGGCCCCCCCATCACCCCCAAGCTTAGCCCTGTCTCAGAACACTTCACAACTTAACAAGTTGTGCGGTCCTTTGAAACCAGTGACTGTACCTTTTCTTTTCTAGTCTCAGCTTTCCTAAGACTCCACATAAGTGTTGGCACTCAATACATATTGGAAAAATGAATGAATAAATGAAAACAAATTACTCCAAAAAATTCCTATTCTTCACATGAAGCTTGTAATCAGAGCAAAAATTAGTTTCAGATCATGAAAGAACTAAGGTTCAGTTAGGTGAAATGATTTGCTTGGCTAAGGTAAAAGCAGAAAAATACCTGCAGGATTCTGGGTTAGAACCCAGGTCTTCTAGGAGTCAGGACTATAACCTGGGTCCTATCTCCCACTTCTATACTCTTTCAATTGTATTTTCTTACTAGGTAAGTTGCCTGAAATTTGTGGGTTTTGCTGCAATGATACTTTACTGACCTGCAATATTATCTTGAGCCAGATATACTTCCTTGATGTCATGAAATAGTAATTATTGCAACATAGGAAAAAAGAAGTGTGCACTGTGTTTTTGGAGGCTTGTTCCCTGTTATTAATTCAGGTGCTGAAGGTTGTGACACTTGTCATCTGAAAGATAATTTTCCTCAGATTTAATAATTGCAGTTAAGTCTCAGATTTGATTTTAATTTCAGACCTTGATGTCATGAAGTATTAATTATCTCCATTACCTACTGATAATATTCCTGCAAACATGCACTTGTTTGATTGGCAGGAATTTTTATTAATTTACAAGGATGAACTCAATTAGAAAAGCTCATTTATCGGCACAATTCCACTTACATATTTACAACTTAGAATTGAGCAAAATCCTAACCAACTTACAACTGCAAACATAGGGGGTCAAGCCATGTGTGAGTAGGGTGGCCACAGCTGACTGACTCTAGCAGAGATTGATTGACATACATTTCCATGTCTGATCTACCTGATTTTGCTTTAAAATGAGCGAGTAAAACCTTTGGGACTAATTACGATTCTTATAGTAAAGTAATGAGAGAGATTTTCCATGTCGACTTGACAGTTTTCCCCCTCCATTTCCATGCCTAGGATTTTTCTTGGGGCTGGCATAGTCACATCTCATTTCAGGAACTACATTTGTTCAATGGTGCTTTAGTCACACACAGCAAAAAAAAAATCTTAATGAATGCTAATATTATGTTAAGTGAATAGGTTCCTCATAGCTACTCACTGTACATCCAAGAAAGAAAAAAAAAATTACATCAATGAGATGTAACACTATCCCTTGATGGGGTAGGACCCTCGGGATTTGAGGCAGCTAACCCTGCCCTGTCACTTACAGGAGTAACATACTTTGACTTGGATAAATTCCTCCTGATGGAATTAATATTTATGAAATTAAAAGAGAGTGATTTATCCTGAGCTGGATTCTCCAACTCAAGAATATGGTAGGGGTTGTATCTTGACCCTCCTACTGAAGCATATCTTTGTTAAATGACTTTGTGGGAACAGTACATTCTGGTTCTGCATCAGCAGAGAAAACTCCATGCTTAGGCTCGGGGAATAACAATGCAGAATAATAAAACAAAACAAAAAAAAATACCAACAGTGCCTTTTACTTACAGAGTTCTTCCCAAAGGAGTGCAGCTGCATTGTATGCCTACACATAGCCAAGCCATAAAACCCTACAGAGTGCTCAAAACAAACAAACAAAAATAATAATTCAGTCCTCCTCTATCTATAGGGCAAACGGGAATTTGGGGGTAAAGTTCAGCTAGAGTAAAAACCTTATCATAGAGATTCCTAAATCAATTTAGAAGAGGGAACAATTGTTATTTATGATTTAGGGCTACAGCAAACATCATATTTTTACTTTAAATATTTGCCTTCAGAATCATTTTAGACTGTGCTGTAATAAAAGGAGCTGAATTATTTTTCTACAAAGGTAACTGTATAGGCTTTACAACAACAACAAAAAAAACATGTTATTCGAGTCATTTTCAAGCACCTTTAAGGACAGTTACAAAGGCAGTTGCTGGAAACACAGTCCTTGAACAGAGCTTTGCTCCCTTCCACTCCTTCTTCTGTCAATCTTCTTGCTGTACTGGCCAAACTGCCTCTTGGGTCTGTCAGTTACTGGTTGCTGTAGTTTAAATGTTTGTGTCCCCTGCAAAATTCATATTGAAACTTAATCCCCAGTGCAATAGTATGAAGAAGTGGGACCTCAAGTGAGAATGTCTAGTGGCAGAATTATAAGGAAAATTAGGGCCATATCCCTATAAAGTGTTCAATAAGATAATGTTTCACAGATTTCTCAGTGTCTGCTTTTTTTTTTTTTTTTTTTTTGAGATGGAGTCTTACTCTGTCACCCAGGCTGGAGTGCAGTGGCACAATCATGGTTCACTGAAGCCTTGACCTCCCCAGGCTCAGGTGATCCTCCCACCTCAGCCTCCACACCTGGCAATTTTTTTTTTTTTTTTTTTTTTTTTTCCGTGGAGAAAGAGTTTCGCTGGGTTTTGCCATATTACCCAGGCTGGTCTTGAACTCCTAGGCTCAAGCAATCCACCCACCTCCCAAAGTGCTAGGCTTCAAGTGTGGGCCACCAAGCCTGGCCTTAGTGTCTCTAAAGCATTAGTTTTTTGTTGAGGTGAATATCCAACGATAGATTGCATACACATCTCTCTAAACTATTAGAGCTAAAGATTACTCATAAAATTTGTTCAACAACACTTTAAAAAATGTTGCACTGCTTATGATGTTATTCCCACAAAATCTAGGCATGATTTTGTCCTTGGTTTAAGGGAGTATAAAATATTTAAAATAAATTTATTCATTTATTATACTTATTCATATAATATAGATTAATGCAATGCTAGGTGCCCCAAATCATGTAAAATACAGATTTAGTTCTTGCCCTTGAAAAGTTGGCAATCTCCCTGATGAAACAAATTGTATACATAAAAGTAGAATTCAGTGTATAATTAGAGCTCTATCTCATATGCTGGTAGCATCTGTAAGACTGGACAAACAGAAAACCAGGTTTTGACTCTCTACAAGACACTGGATTCTACCAAATGTTGTTGGCCTGAATTAAGTTTATCAGGGTTTTGTCTCCTTGATTCCCACTTTCCTCTGAATTGTTTTATATCAGCTTCTCCCCAGTTCTTACCCACTGCCATGATTCTGAGATATGTTTCCCTAGAATTTTGGAATAGTCAATAAATACTTAGGTAATCAGATTTAATTTCACACTTCAAATCTATTTCTGCTCCTCAATTTTATATTGCTGATATTCCACCCTTAGCCTGTGTGTGATCCTCTTTATCAGTGCTTATGTGGTAGAAATATGAGCCATATATGTAATTCTAAAGTTTCTAATAGCCATATTAAAAAGTAAAAAGAAACAGCTGAGATTAATTTTAACAATATATTCTAAACTCAAAATGTCAGAAATGTTATTTCAACAAGTAACCATATCAAAATTATTAAAATGGTATATTGCATTTAGTTTTGTGCAAAGTCTTAGAAATGCAGTATATATTTGACACTTATGGCACATCTTAATTCAGACCAGCCACATTTCTGGTATTCAGCAGCAATGTGTGGCTGGTGGCTACCTTGTTGGACAGCATAACTTTAGAACAATGATTTTAAAAGATGATGCCTGGACTACTGAGAGTGTTTCAGAAATACAAATTCTCAGTCTCCATCTAACAGATTCTAGGATTCTAGGACTGGAACCCAGCAATCTGTTCTTTGTTTGTTTGTTTGTTTGAGATGGAGTCTCGCTCTGTTGCCAGGCTGGAGTTCAGTGGCGTGATCTCAGCTCACTGCTATCTCTGCCTCCCGGGTTCAAGCAATTCCCATGCCTCAGCCTCCCAAGTAGCTGAGACTACAGGTGCACACCACCACGCCTGGCTAATTTTTTTTTTATATTTTATTTTAGTAGAGATGGGGTTTTACCATGTTGGCCAGGATGGTCTCGATCTCCTAACCTCATGATCTGTGTGCTTTGGACTCTCACAGTGCTAGGATTACAGGCGTGAGCCACTGGGCCCAATCTGTTTTTACCAGCCCTCCAGGAGATTTTGACTGCTTTGAAAATTTGAAAACCACTGCTTTAGAAATTCAGGAAAACTCATTGTAGGTAGGGTACTTAGGGAAGGATGCAGAAGAGTCATTTCCATATCATAATGTCTCACTAAGATATTTCACCAAAACAACTGAAAAACAGAGGTCTTTTATAATTTACAGAAAAACAGATTGAATTAACAATAGGATTTTTTAAAACAAATTTAAGGTTGTTTTACTCGGATTTTCTTAAATACTGATGCTTACAACATTGGTCTTTATTTTGAATAAGAAGTAAGTTCAGCTCAAGAGCAAGGAACGTGTTGTGCATTTGTGGAAAGTAAACAAAATCAGGCCGGGAAGGACCACCATGCGACAGGCTGGGCATGCCAGGCTGAAGTGTTTGGATTTTGTCCTGCAGAGAGAAAATGATACTATTTCTGCTCCAGTCAGTGGTTTCTTGCTCTCTGCCTGACACCAACTCCCTCAGAGGGCAAATTCTCTCCTGGGAAATGCAAATAGCTTTGTTTTCTTTGAGATAATTGCTTATTTTGAATAATATATGCTGTGCATAAGTAATGAGTGGAGAGACAGTGTGCAAACATGC
This sequence comes from Homo sapiens, assembly GCF_000001405.40. Classification (NCBI taxonomy): domain Eukaryota; kingdom Metazoa; phylum Chordata; class Mammalia; order Primates; family Hominidae; genus Homo; species Homo sapiens. The sequence continues at coordinate 21,818,388 of NC_000002.12, forward strand.
CTTTGCTTTTCTTCAACTGCCTCCTACTCGGGCACTAGAAGAGCGATGCTGGGGTGGACAAGCCCACCTCCCCAACAGCAGTCCCATTGTCTCTGCACTGACACATCAGCATTGCTACCACACAGTCTCTCTGCTGGGCTGGGAACAGCCGGCTTCAACCTGCTGCCTTGTTTACTAAATGGAATCAGCAGATAATTTCACGGTGATATAGACAGCGTGAAAATCTCACTCAAGATTCATAAATCCTGCTTTAAATTCGGCCAGCTTGTACACAAGCTGCCCTCTCAGCTCTTTCCAATTGGAAGTTGCAGTCACACCAAGAATGGAAGATGGAGTTTGAGACAGAGAAGTACATGCCTAGTCTGACTACCTAGTCCCAGGGAAGGATGTAGAGACCGAAGTGATTTGGGCCAGGTAAGTGGGGAGAGAGGCATTCATCACAATACTCAGTCACAAAGTGGAGGAAATGCAAGTCATAGTGCAAACAGCTGTGGCCTGAGAATCAGGATCACTGAGGTCTTATTGGATAAATCTGCTAATCACGTGTCACAGGCCAAGAGGATGTTAAGCTTGTTCTCTCCTCCAAATTTATTTAACTCCTAATAAAACATATATGGTTTAGGGGATATCCCAGAGGTTTAGATGAAAGTTCTGAATTTGGGAAGACAAAAGGAGTGAAGGTTAAGGTGAGCCACTTGGAAACAGTCATGCCATGAGAAAGAAGAAATCTAATGCCAACTGAGCTCCTGAAGTGTGGACTTCTGATCTTTGTCCATTTTTGATCTTTGAGTCTCCACAGTTTTCAGCATACAGGATGTTTCTTTCAGGCTGGGTGTGGTGGCTCACACCTGTAATCCCAGCACTTTGGGAGGCCTAGGCAGGCAGATCATGAGGTCAGGAGTTCGAGACAAGCCTGAGCAACACTGTGAAACCTCGTCTCTACTAAAAATACGAAAATTAGTCAGGCGTGGTGGCGTGTGCCTGTAATCCCACTACTCAGGAGGCTGAGGCAAGAGAATTGCTTGAACCTGGGAGGCAGAGGTTGCAGTGAGCCAAGATCACCCCACTATACTCCAGCCTGGGTGACAAAGCGAGACTCTGACTCAAAAAAAAAAAAAAAAAAATCACTATTTCAATGAAAGTCTTCTCATTTCATTGAAACACACACACACACTTAAAAAAGACATGACCTATGTATTGTGAGTCATTATTAGTATGTTAGGCAAAGTATTCTGTTACTTCCTTGGACTGAATGGAATTTTTTATTAAGCAACCATTGCAAATGACATGGGTCAGTTTTGCTGGAGAATTTCTTGAGAAGCTGTGGGCAAAGTGACCACAGAAAGGCTAGCATCATGTGACAGTGGCTGCGGTCCTGTTCCATTTTATGCTCTATTCTATGTGTTCACTCTTCTTAGGCAAGCATAGCCACTAAATTCTGCAGTCTAATCAGCCTAAAAACTGAGCTCCATAAATTTGGAAAAAAAAATCCATGAATTTAGAAAAAAAATCAATGGAGAATTGGTGGTTTTAACCCACGTTAAAAGTGAGTATTTACAGAATCAAGGACAGATGGGCTAGCACCATAATCTTACCCTGGCAAAATCTCTGAGGTATGTGATATTGCCACTGGACAAAGTGGAAAGACCACTGATTGGGGAAAGTTTCTTTTTATTTCCTTTTTGGCCATTTTGTGTTTATTCAGAAGAGTTCATAGAAACAATCTTCAAATTTTAAAGCAAATATAACCATGAGCATTTCCCTGAAGCTAAATCCAAGACCACACGTCTACACATCTTCATTTCTCAATTGCATAATTTTGGAGATGGTGTTTTCTGTGTGGAAAAGGAGTCCAGACTCATCTGTGACTTTTTTGGAAAAACTACAAAAAGATTGAGATGGTTACTACAACATCTTATTCTTATTAGTCTGCATTAGCTTGTTTGGGCTACCATAACAAAATACCACACACTAGATGGCCTAAACAACAGAAATTTATTTCCTCACAGTTCTGGAATCTGAACTCTGAAATCAAGGTGCCGGTCTGGTTGTTTTCTGGTTGGTCTCTTCCTGGCCTGCAGATGGCTGGCTGCCTTCTAGCTATGTCCTCTTGTGACCTTTCACTGGTGCCTGCATACAGAGAGAGAAAGAGTATGAGCTCTCTGATGCACATTCTTATAAAGGCATCAATTCTATGCAATCAGGGCCCCATCTTTATGATCTCATTTAACCTTAATTAGTTCTTTTGAGTCCCAATCTCCAAATATAGTCACATTAGGGGTTAAGACTTCAACGTAAGGATTTTGGGAGGAAACAAACATTTAGTCTTTAATGGGATATATTCATATATCATGGAAGGAGCAAGAGCTTGTCCTAATACCATACCATATATAGTGGGTAGACTTTAGGGTAGGGTTACTTCATGGAATGAAGATCATAAATGTTTATGTAGGGTTTCAATTTCTCAAATCTAAGTGATAGAGTATAAGAACATGAAATCTGCTGACTATGGGAAGTGATTTCCAGTGGGAAATGGTTGCACCTGACCTCAGAGTAGAGGCTGAGCTAGACTGGATTTCAGAGTTTCTATCCACCCTGTCTTGGGATCATACTATTGATCAAATAAGCCTTCCTAGGAGAAGAAACACTAAGCCCTAGCAAGTCTGCCGAACTCTAATCATCAGGGAATGGATTAAAGCCAACAGATGAAGATTAAAAGACAGCATTACCATTCTTAGAGATTCTTGGATAAATTACAAAATTCAATTTAGAGGGACTCAAGGGCTGATTGTCATACACCTATTGGTCACTGAACACTTATGCTTGTGGTAGAGAAGCCTTCACCTTGCCTCCAAGGGACAGGGTGAATCATGCATGTTCAAATTGTATTGCTTAGTTTACAGGCAAATAAATTTGTCTGCCAGCTGCCTGGACTAGAAAAAAATGATGTGTCTCATTTACATAGCAAAGCGAAACAGTGAAGGGTCTTGATAAAATATAGGTGCTATTGCCCAGGTCTGAGTGCAATAGACATGAAAGAGATGTGGCTGGTGATAAGAAACGACAAATTCTAGGAGAAAAATGTATTTATTTGGAAGATGCTCACTTTCTGCAAAAAGGTTAGTTTAAACATCTGAGCTAATGTACTGTAAACTGTTAAACTATTTCCTAAACAAAGGGAGTGCATAAACGACATATTGATTGTTTTTCGTTGGTGCATTGTGTATTTTAGGTTACAGCTTGTTTGCAACTGAAAGTAAACTGTAGCAATGTGATGGATTTGCCTATGTGTGAAATGGATCTTCAACAAGGGAATCACAAAACGTTTACACTTCTAGACATGAGCACTCCCAACACACCGTAGTCTGCCTTTCCAATTTCATCCAACTGTGATGGAAGGAAGAAAAAATTCCGTAACATCAATGTGCACTTAATTGTCAGAGGGAAATAAAATTACAAAGTTTAGTAATACCATAAAAATCTGTGCTGTTATGCAAGAATCTAAAATTACATGCTCTCTAAAGGAAAATCATTACACTATAGGGACTCACAAAAGCTTTCCAAACAGAGCTGCATAATCTCACAGTTAAGAGCAGTTTCTTCTGGTTGAAAGAGACTAAAAACAAAACAACAAAAAAAGCACTCATTGTCATGTTGTAACGGTCGACCCATTCAAGGTGACTGTGGGTCATTTTGCTGTTTTGAGCCTGTGATGTTAGGAATGTAAGGGTGAAGATAATGTGTTTTATATGTATAAATTTAAACTGTGCTCTATTATTTGATGTGAACTCCAATTAGCACGTTCTTTTACATTCTAATAGGTGGCTCAATCATCTGTTTTTTAAAAAAGCAATGGGATTCTCTTAAAGGTGGCCATAATTAAGGCGGGAAGGCGGGGCGGGGAGGGGAGAAAAAGAAAGAACACAAATAATTAGCTCATATAATTGAGGTGATTTTCCTAAGGATAGAAGCCATGTATCTTCTCCTTAAAGGAGGGTAGGGGGGAAAGGGCACTGGGTTTTGTTAATGCATCTTCTGACATAGAATTTAAGCTTTGTTTGTTCTATACATGGTGATGTAAAATGACATATTCTGGGTCTCTGGATGTGGGAAAAGTTAATGGGGTTTCAAGGTATTGCTTTGGATTTCTCTTCTCTCTGCTCTTCTCCGTCAAAACTCGCTATTATTTCCTGTTGGATTCCCAAGAGATCACCTATCAGAAGCAGAAGGGTAAGCTCAACTATGCAGCTTACAGAAGTACAGGCACCACCATTACCAAGATAATTATCTTAAATTCTTTGACCACATGCCTTGCCTCAGTCAAGACTCCTCCATCTGTGCAAAAATTTTGCCCTGCTCACATATCCCAGGGTGATTCAGTGTAGAGAAAATGGCTTTGGACTCAGACTACATTGGATTGTAGGATTGAGTCCACTTGTTAGACTAGGATGTCAAGTGTTGTTTTGAATTAATGTTATCTTCAGTTTTATCCTCTGTAAATTGGAGAAAATACCTATTTCATTAGAATCAAGGAAAAAAATGCACATTTCTTTCCTTTGTCTTGGCAGCAGATTTAAGTCTGCGGGCAATGAACAATTGCCAGAAGGAGGAAACTCAATTCTGGCAAAAGTGAGTACAAAGAAAAAAGTACCAAGTATTAATGGCCATGGTATTTAAGGTCAATTTAATACAGAATTACAAGTAGGCCTGCTAGGTTTCTTATAAGTATATCCATGCAATATTTGGCACACAGTCATAGTTTAAAAAATTGTTATTTATCTGAAATTCAAATTAAACTCTGTGCTCTGGTATTTAATTTGGTAACACTAATCACAAAGTGTCATGGATATGTGGCAAAAAGGCTGAATATCAGTGTGAAGGTCAGCAGGCCAGGCTGATACACATGGAGAAACTGCCAGCTGATTATTACTGAGTTGAAGCATTAAATACTAAGGTACTTGCTGAGATGCTTGGAAGAATCAGGTTTAACTAATGACTATGATATGTTAGCACTTAGCCAGATAAAGAATTGATAATTGCTAAGAGATCATAATTATGATATTGTGTTTAATCCGAAATTAATTTGTAGCAAGAGATTACTAATGTTGATTTATTATACCCAGTTACAAGATGTATGTGGATTACCTTGAACCAACTGTTTGTAGCTTAGGAAGGGAGAACCTACCACATGCAGGGTTTACTCTCCCCTTAGGAAATAAACATGAAGGGAATAAGTCACTTCACCACTGGATTTGATCTCTATATGATATTATCTATGTTTTTTATATATCTGTTCATTACGCCTCCTGGGTCTATCAATTTCTGAGAATAGTATGATAAAATCTCTAGCAAGAATTCACAGGGTCTCTATATTTTTCTTTGGTTTGGCTTTATGTATTTTGAAACTGTATTATTATAGTCATAACTATTTATAATTTATTTTCTTGACCAATTGTACTTCTTACCATTATGATGAACCTCTTTGATATTTTGTAATATTTTTGTCTCAAATTATATTTTGCTAGATATTAATAACACTCCTTCAGATGTCTTTTGGTTATGTTTACATGACATATTTTTTCCATCTTTTATTTTCAGTTCTTATTTTCAAATCATTACAGATAATATATTTTTGCATGTTTCTTTTTAATTTCAGTCTGAGTTATGGTCTTTTCATTTGTGAATTTAATCCAATAATATTATAGATTAATATTATTATATTAGAATTTGTTTCTGTTCCTTTATTTTACATTTTTCCTTTAATGTCTTTCTTTTTTTTAAATTTTTTTCTCTTTCCCTTTTTGCGTTGGCCATGAAAGGTTTTCTTCTGATGGTTTTAAAATTATATATTCTACTTTTGTTTTTACACTATCTTTATGCAAAGAACACTTCTCATATTTATGTCTATGTTGATCTCTTAAATATTTTATCTATATCTCTTCCATAACCAGTCAGAAAAGGTATCAGACTCTCAAATCCTTTTGGCCTTTCCACCTACTTCATCTCTACTGAATATTAGTTCTAGGTTTATATCACAATATAGACTACTGTTCTTCTCTCATCCTAGTTTCAAGGCACAACTATGGTCTTTGCTAAAATACTAAATTATCCTTACTTCTTATACAGGTTGCCGTATCTACCTGGTTGTAGTTTTCTTATTTGAATGCCTCTCCCTAGAGTATTTTTCCAAGTGGATTTTTGTATCCCTAAATCTTCCGAGGCTGACATGCTTGAGAATATTTTTACTTACCTCCCTATTGCCATTTAGCTAACGAAATAATAATTCTGAAACCTGAGATTGATCTCATTCAGTTTCATTATAGAAAACCAGAATTTTTTTCTGGAGATGTCTCTGTGTTTGCTACTTCTAAAGTGTTTAGGTAGGGATATTTTCTTACTTATCCTAATTAGACCTTTCTGGGCCCTTTCAGTCTGAAGTCTCACATCTTGTTTTAATTTTAGGAATTTTATCCTCATTAGCTTTTGCAAATATTTCCTTTCCTGTGTTTATTACTTTTTGTTCTTCAGAAACTCTTACAGAGGTTGGGACTTCTACATCTATCTTCTGTATGTATTGCTTAACTTTTCTCTTGCATCTTCTTTATCCTGTTTTGTATTCTGAGAGTTCCTCAATCTGATCTTTGAGCTTGCTCATTCACTCTTTCGTTATACTCATCTATTTAGGCCATTTAAAATATTTCAGCTACCATATTCTGCATTCTTAGTATTTCCAACTTTTTATGATTCATTGCTTTTGCTTTATATTAATACCCTCTCTCCTATCTTTGAGAGTATTTATTGTGCTTATTTTCTATTCTTAGGCCATCTGTTCCAATAAGTCTGTTTTATATACCATATGCTGTTTAGTTTGTAGTATTTATGTATAATAATATTCTTCAGATGTGTAAAAATTTGGCATGCTACTTCATTTTCCTAATAGTTACCTTTTATGGCAATAGCCAGGCCCAAATTCGAGGCCATGTTGGACATCTAAAGGGAGGCAATAAGCCTCAAATTGGAAAACTCTAGCATTTGTCGTGGACATACCTTAGATGACCCCCAATAAGTCATGTCCTTATAAATATCCTCCCTTCCAGTGCAAGCAGAACCTATGACTTGCTTTTAACCAATACACCATAGAAAACATTGATGGAATGATACCCCTTACCTCATGATTACATTTTGTTATATATTACCCTGTCTTAGCAGACTAGAGAGATAGATTCTCCTGCTTGTCTCGATGGAACAAGTAGTCATGTTGTGAATTGCCTACGGAGAAGGCCACGTGATAGGAAACTGCAAGTGGCCTGCAGAATGGAGATGAGCCCTGGATGAAAGCCAGCAAGAAAATCGGGACCTCAGTCCTGTAGCTTCAGGATGACTTCTTCCAACAACCTGATGGAGATTGGAAGTGTACCTTTTCCCAGTCAAACCTCTGATGAGACTGCAGGCCCAGTCAAACCTGGATTGCTACCTGATGAAACTCTAGGGCAGAGGACCTATTTAAAGTGTGCCTGCACTTCATGACATGCAGATACTGTGAAATAATGAATATGTGCTGTTTTACACCTCTAAGTTTGCAGCAATTCGTTATACAGCAATAGAAAACCAGTACAGCACCCACCCTCTGTTGAGTACTCTTCTTGGCTCCTATACAACCAGTCAACTCTTCTGAATAGGTAGTGCCTTTAAATCATTAGAGGAAAGCACCATTAGGAGAAGGAAGTTGTTTCAGACGTAATTCACTAGCCATAAAAGGTTGAGATAATGGGGAGTTAGGGTGGATGTCCTCAGATGGATAGCAAACTCCCATCTGTTTTCATCATCACCACCACTCAGGTATAAATTCTCAAAGTCTTCATTATGTTATTCATGTTTTAGACAACAACACACTTTACTGGGGTATTTGGTTACCCTTATTTTTCAGATTTCATGGAGCATCCTCTAGGATTTCTTTTAGGGTTTTTAAAGAAGGGTTTTATTATCGTTGCCATCATCTGCATCCTAAAATTAAAAAAAAAATTCCTTGCTGTAGGATTGAAGTTATTTTCCTTCAACACTTTGAAAATGTTAATATTCTGTCGCCTTGTTTTTTCTGTTGGTATTGAAAAGTTTTGTATCAATCTGAATGTTTTTCACTTAAAAATAACTGCATTCTCTGAAAGCAGTTAGGATATTGTCTCAAATTTTCCTATAATACACATATGTGTGCATTTTTCTTTATACAATTTTGTACTTTTTAAGGTCTCTTCAACTTAGGTGTTCATATTTTAAATTCTGAGAACTTTCTTCTGATTCTAGTTTTATCTATTTCTACCTCTTAATTTATTTGTTTTACTTCTTTCTGGTACTGTTATGATTGGTTGGTGACAGTTGTGTCTCTATATTCCATATTTAAAAACTTGTTTGTTACATTTGCCATTATGTCATACTTTTCTGATGTTTTCAAAATAAGTTATTGAATACCACCTTTCTATTCATCAATTCTGATAATTATTCATCCTGTAACATATTTTGTGTATTATATATTCAATAAATCTACTTGTTTCTTTTTGATTATTGCTTATTATTGATTAATATCATCAGTATATCCTACCTTATCTCTTTTAAGATATTTATCATGTTTGTTTTAAAATGGTAATCTCTGTATAACATTTATTCAGAACCATGGAGTATACACTATTATGTATGTTGCCATTCCATTGTAAAGACTGTGCTGAGATGATTTATTTTTCTCTTTAAGATCATTTACCTTAGCCATTCGTAGTTCCCAGGGGAGAAGGACCTCTGTTCTATTTTATTGACTTTAATGTTGTTGGATGGTGCTGACATATCCATTTACTGTGTTACCACCAGTCTTTCCTTCTTCTTAGGAAAGCCCAGGTACTTCTCCAAGAATTACTTTCTCTTGGCTGTAACTACCTACCTTTAAGGTTTAGAAGAGAAGATGATTATGCTCAGCAGCTGCCATTTCTCAGAGCATTTTATCCACTCCTAACTCAGCAGGTCTTCTGCACTGTGTTGTTGGTATCTTGTGAACAGAAAAATACTTAGCATAATTTCTTTTTTTTTTCATAAGTTATTGGGGTATAGGAGGTATTTGGTTACATGAGTAAGTTCTTTAGGGGTGATTCGTGAGATTTTGGTGCACCCATAACCCGAGCAGTATACACTGCACTCTATTTATAGTCTTTTATCCCTTGCCACCCTCCCTCTCTTTCCCCCAAGTCCCCCAAGTCCATCGTATAATTCTTATGTCTTTGTGTCCTCATAGCTTAGCTCCCGCAAATTAGAACATACAGTGTTTGATTTTCCATTCCTGAAATACTTCACTTAGAATAATAGTCTCCAATCTCAACCAGGTCACTGCAAATGTTCTTAATTAATTCCTTTTTATGGCTGAGTAGTATTCCATCATATATATCACAGTTTCTTTATCCACTTGTTGATTGACGGGCATTTAGGTTGGTTCCACGATTTTGCAATTTTGAATTGTGCTGCTAGAAACGTGTGTGCAAGTTTCTTTTTTGGATAATGACTTCTTTTTTTAAGTTAATTTATTTTTTTATTATACTTTAAGTTATAGGGTACATGTGCACAGGTGGCTAGGCAATTAACCCAGCACCATTTGTTGAAAAGGGTGTTCTTTCCTCACTTTATGTTTTTGCTCACTTTGTCGAAGATCAGTTGGCTGTAAGTATTTGGGTTTATTTCTGGGCTCTCTACTGTGTTCCATTGGTCTATGTGCCTATTTTTATACCAGTACCACACTGTTTTGGTGACTATGGCCTTATAGTATAGTTTGAAATCAGGTAGTGTGATGCCTCCAGATTTGTTCTTTTTGCTTAGTCTTGCTTTGGCTATGCGGGCTCTTTTTTGGTTCCATATGAGTTTAGAATTGTTTTTTATAATTCTGTGAAGAATGATTTTGATATTTTGATGTGGATTGTATTGAATGTGTAGATTCCTTTTGGCAGTATGATAATTTCCACAATAGTTAGTCTATCCATCCATGAGCATGGGATGGGTTTCCATTTGTTTGTATCATCTGTGATTTATTTCAGCAGTGTTTTGTAGTTTTCCTTGTAGAGGTCTTTTAACTCCTGGGCTAGGTGTATTCCTAAGGTGGTTTTTTTCTTTTTTTTTCTTTTTCTTTTTTTTTTTGCAGCTATTGTAAAAGGGGTTGAGTTCTTGATTTGATTCTCTGCTTAGTCATTGTTGGTGTATAGAAGAGCTACTGATTTGTGTACATTAATCTTGTATCCAGACACTTTGCTGAATTCTTTTATCACTTCTAGGAGCTTTCTGGAGGAGTCTTTAAGGTTTTCAAGGTAAATGATCATGTCATCAGCAAACAGTGACACTTTGACTTCTTCTTTACCGGTTTGGATGCCCTGTATTTCTTTCTCTTGTCTGATTGTTCTGGCTAGGACTTCCAGTACTATGTTGAACAGGAGGGGTGAGAGTAGTCATCCTTGTCTTGTTCCAGTTCTCAGAGGGAATGCTTTCAACTTTTCCCCATTCAGTATTATGTTGGCTGTGGGTTTGTCATAGATGGCTTTTATTACATTGAGGAATGTCCTTTGTATGTCAATATTTTGCTGAGAGTTTTAATCATAAAGGGATGTTGGATTTTGTTGAGTGCTTTTTCTGCATCTACTGAGATGATCATGTGATTTTTGTTTTTAATTATGTTTATGTGGTGTATCACATTTATTGACTTGCGTATGTTAAACCATCCCTGGCATCCCTGACATGAAACCCAGTTGATCATTGTGGATTATCTTTTTGATATGTTGTTGGATTCGGTTAGCTAGTACTTTGTTAAGGATTTTAGCATCTATGTTCATCAAGGATATCAGTCTGTAGTTTTCTTTTTTGGTTATGCCCTTTCCTGGTTTTGGTATTAGGGTGATGCCGGCTTCATAGAATTAATTAGGGAGGATTCCTTTTTATCTTGCGGAATAGTGTCAAAGGATTGGTACCAATTTTTCTTTGAATGTCTGGTAGAATTCTGCTGTGAATCCATTTGGTCCTGGAATTTCTTTGTTGGTAATTTTCAAATTACCATTTCAGTCTTGCTGCTTGTTATGGGTCTGTTTAGGGTATTTAATTCTTCCTGATTTAAGCTAGAAGGGTTATATTTTTCCAGGAATGTATCCATCTTTTCTAGGTTTTCTGGTTTATGTGTGTAAAGGTGTTCATAGTAGCCTTGCATGATCTTTTGTATTTCAGTGGTGTCAGTTGTAATATCTCCTGTTTCTCTTCTTAGTGAGGTTATCTGGATTGTCTCTCTTTTCTTGGTTAGTCTCGTTAATGGTCTATCAATTCCTTCCCTACACGCCCTGTTAGCAGAAGACAAAACTGAAATTATATCAAGCACTCTCTCAGGACACAGTGGAATAAAACTGGAAATCAACTCCAAAAGAAAGCTTCAAAACCATGCAAATACATGGAAATTAAATAACCTGCTCCTGAATGAGCATTGGGTCAAAAATGAAATCAAGATGGAAATTTAATAATTCTTCAAACTGAATGACAATAATGACACAACCTATCAAAACCTCTGGGATAGAGCAAAGGCAGTGCTAAGAGGAAAGTGCATAGCCCTAAACACCTACATCAAAAAGACTGGAAGAGCACAAGCTGACATTTTAAGGTCACACCTCAAGGAACTAGAAAATAAGAACAAAGCAAACACAAACCAAGCAGAAGAAAGGAAATAACCAAGACTGGAGAAGAACTAAATCAAATTGAAACAAACAAACAAAAAATACAAAAGATAAATGAAACAAAAAGCAGTTTCTTTGAAAAGATAAATAAAATTGAGGTTCATTTTATGGCCTATCATGTGGTCTATCTTCGAGAAAGTTCCATGTGCTATTGAATAAAATTTGTATTCTGTGGTTGTTGGATGAAATGTTTTGTATATATCTGTTAGGTCTATTTGTTCCAAGGTATAGTTTAAATCCATTGTTTCTTTGTTAACGTTCTGTCTTGATGGCCTGTCTAATGCTGTGAGTGGAGTATTGAAGTCTCCCACTATTATTGTGTTGCTGTCTATCTCATTTCTTAGGTCTATTAGTAATTGTTTTATAAATTTGGGAGCTCCAGTGTGAGGTGCATATATGTTTAGGATTGTGATATTTTCCTGTTGGACAAGGCCTTCTACTATTTTATAATGTCCCTCGTTGTCTCTTTTAACAGCTGTTGCTTTAAAATTAGTTGTGACTGATATAAGAATAGCTACCCCTGCTCTCTTTTGGTGTCCATTTGCATGAAATGTCTTTTTTCATCTCTTTACTTAAGTTTACCTGAGTCCTTATGTGTTAGATGAGTCTCCTGAAGGCAGTAGATAGTTGGTTGGTGTGTTCTGATCCATTCTGTGGTTCTATATCTTTTAAGTGGAGCATTTAGGCCATTTACATTCAATGTTAGTATTGAGATGTGAGGTACCATTGCATTCATCATGCTGTTTTTTGTCTGTGTACTTTGTTTTTTTGATGTTTGTTTTGCTTTTTAACTTGTATTTTTGTTTTATAAGTCCTTTGTGATTTATGCTTTAAAGAAGTTCTGTTTTGAATGTTTCCAGGATTTGTTTCAAGATTTAGAGTTCCTTTGAGTAGTTCTTGTAGTGGTGGCTTGATAGTGGCGAATTCTCTCAGCACTTGTTTGCCTGAAAAAGACTCTATTTTTCCTTCATATATAGTGCTTAGTTTCACTGGATACAAAATTCTTGGCTGATAATTGTTTCGTTTGAGGAGGCTGAAGATAGGTCCCAATCCCTTCTAGCTTGTAGTGTTTCTGCTGAGAAATCTGCTGTTAATTTCATAGGTTTTCTTTTATAGGTTACCTGGTGCTTGTGTCTTATAGCTCTTAAGATTCTTTCCTTTGTCTTAACTTTGGATAACCTGGTGACAGTGTGCCTAGGCAATGATCTTTTGTGATGAATTTCCCAAGTGTTCTTTGTGCTTCTTGTATTTGGATGTCTAAGTCTCTAGCAAGGCTGGGGAAGTTTTTCTGATTATTCTGCCAAATATGTTTTCCAAGCTTTTAGAATTCTCTTCTCCTCCAGAACACTGTTTATTTTTAGGTTTGGTCTTTCAACTTAATCCCAGACTTCTTGGAGGCTTGGTTCATATTTTCTTATTCTTTTTTCTTTGTCTCTGTTGGATTGGGTTAATTCAAGGACCTTGTTTTTGAGCTCTGAATTTCTTTCTTCTACTTGTTCAAGTCTATTACTGAGACTTTCTAGAGCATTTTGCATTTTTATAAGTGTGTCCAGTGTTTCCTGAATTTTTGATTATTTTTTTCTTTATGCTATCTATTTCCTTAAATATTTCTCCCTTCACTTCTTGTATCATTTTCCTCGCATTGGGCTTCACCTTTCTCTGGTGCCTCCCTGACTAGCTTAATGACTAACCTCCTGAATTCTTTTTCAGGCAAATCAGGGATTTCTTCTTGGTTTGGATCCATTGCTGGTGAACTAGTGTGATTTTTTTTGGGAGGTGTTAAAGAGCGTTGTTTTGTCATATTACCAGGGTTGGTTTTCTGGTTCCTTCTCATTTGGGTAGGCTCTGTCAGAGGGAAGATCTTGGGCTGCAAGCTGTTGTTCAGATTCTTTTGTCCCACAGGGTGTTCTCTTGATGTAGTACTCTCCCCTTTTTCCTATGGATGTGGCTTCCTGTTAGCCAAACTGCAGTGATGGTTGTCCCTCTTCTGGGTCTAGCAACCCAGCAAGTCTACCCAGCTCTGGGCTGGTACTGGGGGTTGTCTGCACAAAGTCCTGTGATGTGAACTGTTTAAGGGTCTCTCAGCCATGGATACTAGCACCTGTTCCGGTGGAGGTGGCAGGGGGCAAGGGGCTATGCAATGGACTCCATGAGGGTTCTTAGCTTTGGTAGTTTAGTTTTGTGCTGGTTGGCCTCCTGCCAGGAGGTGGGCTTTCTAGAGAGTATCAGCTGTGGTAGTATAAAGAGGAACCAGCAGTGGGCGGGAGCCTAGAACTTCCAAAATTATATGCACTGTCTTCTGCTAACAGGGTGTGTAGGGAAGGACTATCAGGTGGGGGCAAGCTTAGGCATGTCTGAGCTCAAACTGTCCTTGAGTGGTCTTGCTGCAGTTGAGTATTTGGGGTGTCTCCCGGGTCCTGCAGGAGCAGTCTGCTTTTTTCAAAGGGTCTCTACTTAGCATAATTTTGAAATACAAAAGCCTAGCTTGGAATTCAGGCTCTGAGACATACTAGCTGAGGAACTTAGACAATTTTCTCAACTTCTCCATGACTCTCTATTCTTGCATATTAAATGGGATAGTTATAGTGCTAATTGTTAGGATTACTGTGATACTTAAAAGAGGTAATTATATAAACCAATTAGAACAGTACCTGACACAAATTAGGGCCTAATAAACATTAGCTATAAGTGTGGTTATAGTGCCCAGCACTGGTACATGTTAAGTAAATGTCATTTATTTTGCATACCATTTACACCTATCTACAGAGCCTTATCTGAATCTGTGCACCCATTACTATAAAGATACACCAACATTTCAAATCTCCAGGAGTCCCATGTGCTTCCTGTCAAGCTCTAAGATTCTAGCCATCTTGGCAATATGGAATTTTTGAAAGAGACTGTTCAACCAAGGATATGAGATAAGATCTTGGTGTAATAAAAAAAAATATATATATATATATATTTAGAATCTGTAGTATCTTATACCCACTAATTCCAATCTTTAAGTCTTTAAACATGTGAACCCAAATTCCCCTGTGTATATGTAGTCCTTCACAGGTTACAAAGAAGCTTTACATACATTATCACATTTGATATTATAGAGTTTTTTACAAAAGATGAGAAAAACTTTATCCAAACTATTTTTAAGGGGAAACAAATTCTCAGTCTGGAGGATAAAAAGAAAGAAATTCAGGCAGCTTGAGTGTGGCAGACATGCAAAGTCAACCAAGATGTTTAAATTTCTAGTGCAGTGCATATCTCTCCTGCTCTACTCTTTTCAGAGAAACCAGGGAGAAATAGTCAGGAACCTTGCTGGGCCTTCTCTAGAAACTTTACGTGTGGATAAATGTAAGTGGAATTTTGGATGTTCATCATTTGATTCCATTCCATCATAGCTGAAGCTTAGGTTCATGCTGTTCCCTGCCTTTTCTGCAAAGAAGAGTGCTAGTGCTAATTTGTTTACCTTGAGCGGGCTATGCTTGGTGCTGGGCAGTGACGGTGGAAGTAGCCATCACAAAGGACATCAGGATTGAGTGTCCTTTCCTGAAGTTCAAGCTCTATTCAAAGCATTTCTACATATGTACATCCTGCTGTGAGTCATTCATAATTCATAATACATTTTCTAACATTTTCTAGTTGCTTATTGCTATTTGATGCCTAAGTTTGCACTAAGTTAGATAATGAATATGGTTCCTCAGAGCTAAACAATTCTGTTACCATTACATAAGTTAACCCACTAGCTTTTATATACACTGTTGACACTAGGGTGAACTGTCTGTTTACTGGAGAGGTGGGATATCTATGTATACTGAGAAAATATACCCTTAAGCGTCAATAAGTATGTATTCAGCTCTAACTGCTCAGTCCTATTCAAGACATTGTAGAGGAGAGCCAAAGACTAAGGCACATGAGGCTGTTAGAAACTGTATATGCATTAAATGTGTTTGTCAATGTGTGTATGCATGCAAAAGGAAGTTGAAGTCATAGATTTCATCCCCCATTACCTAGACAATAACTTGTCACATGCGGCCATCAGTGAATGCTTGCAAAATAAAGAAGTCAAGATCACTCTGAGCAGATAACTATAGCTGGGTCGGGCTTTCTGGACGAGATAGAACTTGAGATATTTGAATAATGTATGGGGGTGAGGGCAGGCATCCTAAGTGAGGTACAGAAATAAAAACAAGAAGGGAGTTTAGAAAGAAGGAAGGCGAATAATGTGGGCAGAATATCATCCATTATCAGAATATAGACATTGTATAAAGCTCCGTTACATTTACAATAGTCACATAATAACTTCATAGAATCTGTAAGCCATATCTATTCCACTTTGATTTTTGAAGGAATGCCAAAGCCCTTTCATGCTAACAAAATATGGTCATTTCTTTTTCACTTTTGAAAACTCAAACTAATTCTTTTTATAGCAAAGTATATACACTACTGGGAAAATGTTTATTTTTGCCCCCTGCATATTCTAGTACATAAGTTGAATGGGTTATTTTGGAAAACACTGTCATGAAATGACATATAGCAACCAGCATTTCTTGAGCTCACCCACCCAGGGCCATTCTAAGTTTGACATTATAAGAGGGGTTGCTACTTGCCGAGGGGGATGGTGTCATTGGCACCCTGTGGAGGGGAAGAAAGTAGAAAACAGGACAAAGCTTTCTGCCATAAAGAAACCTAATGATTCATGGAGGGGTATCAAGTGGGATGAGTAGCTAAACAGTGTGGATGGCAAGTGTTTTAGCTAAAGAAATTTGAGTTTCATAGTCTTTAAGAACAGGCTAGAATGTGTCCATGACCTAGATCAAACAAGGATGTACAGAAACAGAGTAGAAGGATGGTTACCAGAGGCTAGGAAGCATAGTTAGGGGGCGGGGTGGAAGGGAGGTGGGGATGGTTAATGGGTACAAAAAAATAATAAGAATGAATAAGACCTATTTGATCGCACAACAAAATGACTACAGTCAATAATAATGTAATTATACACTTTAATATAACTAAGAGTATAATTCGATTTTTTGTAACACTAAGGATAACACTAAGGATAAGAGTATAATTCGATTTTTTGTAACACTAATGAAGGGATGGATACCCCATTTACCCTGATGTATTATGCAGTGCATGCCTCTATCAAAACATCTCATGTATTCCATAAATATATATGCCTACTACATACCTTCAAAAAATTAAAAATTAAAGAAGGCTATGCTTCAATTTTAGCAGGGGCATCTTTGATCTTAACATGCACCTGAGATAGGAAATTGTGAGGAGATTGTTAGGAAGTGATTATAGAAGGTCTGAAGGCCTCATGACATCATCCAAGGTTCAAGCACAGGGCAGAGAATATAAGTCTGAGAAGAAACAATGGTCTTTAGAGTTAGTGATCCCTAGCATTGCCACCATGTGCAGTTTCTTCTCCTTGGAAGTTCAGGAGGAGAGCCATGTACAGGTAGCCTTGAGAACTGATTATAATCAGACCATTATGAATATAAGTGAGGTGTATTATTTATTTTAATCATTGTTACACAAATGCTGAGAAAAATCAGGGTTTTTATTAGACTTCTTTTAGACTCTAATACTTATTCTCAAGACCCACTATCATTCTCTGTGACTTCCACTTCGAAGGATACCTTATTTTAGTGATGAATACTGGGCATAAGTGGCCTGTGCCTAGATTAGATGATCTTATCCTTGGGGTTTATACACAGAGCTAGGTGAAGCTATAGAGACACTAAGCCATGTTAGGAATTGTTCAGGGTAGGGGAAGGGTGGCAGAGGGTGGGAGAGGTGGCACTGGCTCAGGGATTGCCACTGGCATTTCATCCAGAGCCCTTTCAGTTTATTCAGTTTAATATGTTTGCTTTGGGGTATTATTTCAACTGAAGAAATGTATCTAAGACAAGATAGCAATAAAAAGCCAGTGCTGTGGTGGAATCATCTATTGATTTCAGACTTTGTCAGTTAAGTCATACAGTGGATCTGATATCTCATTTAATATTTTCTTTCAATTGCTAAAACTGACCAACTGACTTGCAATATTTACAAAATGTATAGAGACAGTGTGGACTCAATCTGCAAATATTCTGTGAGTGGCTGAGTAAATGTAACCGAGGTGGCATTTTCAACTTGATGAGCATTTTGCCAAGGATGGAATAAGAGTAAGTGGAAGCTGAGGTACAGATGCATCTTCTCTTTAGGCTTACACGGGAACATCATCCCGTAGCAGTTTACACTGAGAATTTACCCAGACTGTTTTTCTTTTTTTTTTCCCCCTTGAGTCCTGAATAAGGTCGGCTCATGGCCTGGAAGCTATGAAATTTTTCTTGTTCTGGCAACCTAGGAAGAGAAGGTATTTTGCAACTTAGCTGAGTTGTTTCTTAATGTTTGCAGAGAAATATGTCTTCTTGTAGTTTTTTTTTAAGTTGAAAAGAAGCATGTTTTCTCAATGTATAGAAATGCCTAGTCCATATCTATACTAGATTTGTATTTGAGTTCAAAAATAATACAATGATTTTGTTCCCTGATAATTCAAGAGTTCAAAAATTGGTGGGAGCCATACTCCATATGGGACACCAGTGAAAAATTGGATTTGCAATAACTAGGAGGGGGGACACAATAAAACCTTCAGTGTAGAAAGAAAAGATTTATCCTCCCTGTTTACCTTTATTGTATGTCCTGGTGAATAATCATCTTTGACATCTGTAAACTACCTTTCATGGAACAGTCCCACAGGTCTTCCTCATTCAAGAGCTGCTTTCTGAATGTCACTTCTCTACTCAGTGACTCATTATTATGCCATGGTGGGAGGCCAAGGCCTTTAAATTGGAGATTACAGTATGATATGCTTAAAGGAAAATCTAAAAAAAATCCCTTGGCGGGGAAACTTTGGTACTGGGAGTTCTTGTGCATATAAACTATATTGCCAGCCTACATAGCTAGTTGGGAGAATGTGCCTTGCAGTGTAACTTCACTCCAGGGAAATTATTAAGTATACCTGTGGGTAATTTCAAGCTATTGGGAACAGTTACTCAAAATACTGGTTAAACTTCAAATTTTGCTGGTAAAGGACCAACAGCTTGTGGTTTACCACAAAGCAAGAGTTTCTTAAAGTGACAACCCCTTCTTGAACAGGAATCACACATGATAAGTGTTCCCAGCAGTTCTGTTTTTGGAGCAGCTTCCAAAGTGATGAATACAAATGACAACAACCATTATCCTAGCTTATTCGTGGTATCATACTGTCCTGAGAAACTACAGTTACATAAATCAAGGGA
Organism: Homo sapiens; assembly: GCF_000001405.40. NCBI lineage: Eukaryota > Metazoa > Chordata > Mammalia > Primates > Hominidae > Homo > Homo sapiens. The sequence goes on from NC_000002.12 coordinate 21,837,400, forward strand.
ATATTGCTTAATATTACTATTAATACATTACATGCTAGAGCAGCAGTGGCAGTTGCTCACGAAGTTGATGTAACAGAATATATAAACATGCAGATGATTCATATTCTACAGAATGCAATCTTACTTTAAAGTCATTTGCAATAAAAGAAGTCCAATTTTAACTTTCCCTTTTATATACTTTCAATTATACCAGCTTAACTATATGTTTGTCAATTAAAAAAAAAACTTCATATATATGTGGGTATATACATATATAATCACTTCTCCCCACACACCCTGTTTAAGTTGCTTTTAAAAAACAGAATTGTCGACTTCCAGGTTCACATTTTCCATTCTACAGCTCCTAAAATGGTAAAACTATTCTGCGTTGCCTGTGGTTTCTGTGTATGAAGAAAGAATGATTTTTCATCTTTCACTCAAATTCTCAAACTTTTTAAAGGGGAGACAGTCACATTTTTTTTTTCATTTGGAAACAGACTTCTTTAAAGATACCTTTTCTGTAACTTCTTCAAAATGTGAAATGTGCCTACGTTTTTCCTCTCCTTAAAGTTTTCAGATAGAACTAGTTCAAACCTACAGACTTGACACCTAATAAATAAAGTCAAACATCTTATACTTTTGTTATAATACAATGAGCACAAAAAATGTGAATTTAAAAATAGCATGTTTTCAAAGACAAAATTGAGCCAGGACAATTTAATGCACAAATTTATAAAGTGATAATATTTTTTAACTTTATTTGAACCAATTGCTTTTCAATTGTTTGAAGTTGGTTTCAAAATTAGTGTTACTATTTTAAAACCTCAACTAAATTGAGTTGGATCAAGTAACTCATCTGGTTTTGGCCTTTTCCACATTTATGATTTGGAAGGGACTAAGCCCAATATGTTTCAATCCAATGCAGTAACTATCTGGTCAAATACTCGTCTTTGTCTGTCTCCAGTATTTAATCAATAGTATTTATGTAGCTTTAAGTAAACATCTTATTCTGTAAGGAGAAGTAATCAGGCAAGTAATTGATACTTATTTTATCTTTTACATCCCATTAAAACATACCCAAAGCACTAGAACTCTCATTGGAATACTTATGGTAGGTTAGATAAAATATCTGTTCCAATACAACATCGCATCAATTTCAAGGTTTTCCTCATGTTTTAAAGTGAAAATTAGAGTCAGAGACCATAGGAAGGAAGCACAATTTCAAACCCCCATGATGCTTGTAGTCTTGATATGAGAAATTAACTTTGGGGTAAAGTACTCATTTGCAACTGATACTCCTGGGTGTAAAATGAATGAGTTATTATATTCACTTCATTATTTGCTGCACGAATATAGTCAACTACTTTAGATTCTAGTTGCGAGGTCCTGGTAATAGCAAATATGCAAGAAAGGAATAGGAGAATTTCTGCTCTTAATGCATTGATGACCTAGAGTACAAGATAGAAGTATAAACATGTGATTAAAATTCAATATAATACTTCTACATCTTGTCAAGCTAGAGTAACAGTAACTAGATGTACTCATCAAACATTTAGAAGAAAAATAAACTATATGAAACCATTTTATTCAAGGCACTGGGCATCAGAAAATAAAGCACAGTGATACCTGAGATATAAAAATACCACAAATCAAAATTCTAGAGATGAATATTATAATGTCTGAGATGAAAATAACCTGAATAGGGTAATGGTAGGTTAGGCATTCAGAATATTAGGTTAGTAAAGTTGAAATCATAGCAACAGGAACTATCTAACATAAAACAGAAAAACACATAAAAATAAAATAAGAATTAGTAATCTTTGTTACAATTTAAAGTGGCCTAATATATATGCAATTGGAGTCAATAAAGAAGGGGGAGACAGAACAAAAATATTTGAAGAAATAATGATAGAAAAAGTTTCAAATTGAATTACAACTATAAACCAAGAGATCCCAAGAAGTGCAGAAGAACCAAAATAAAAGAAACCTAAAATCACATCAGAATGTATCATAATCAAAATTCTCAAAACCAATGAACAATATAAAATTCTAAAAGCACAGAAAAGGAAAGACACATTAGAGAAAGAAGAATAAATATAAGAAAGCAAATTTCTGGTCAGAAGTAATTTAAGGAAGATGATGGTAGAGCAACACTTTTTAAAATAAAACTATCAATGTAAATTTTTATAAACTGAAAGTATCTTTCAAAAGTCAAGGAGGAAGAACCTCCAAAGCTGTGGAATTCAATAATCAGGGTCTCTTTCTTTCCATATTAGCATCAACCTAGCTTTTCCGGAGCTAACTCAGTTCTTAATAAAAATAATATGTACCTTTTATTGGAAATAGTCTTTCTAGGGCCACTTCTGTTTTTTATTATTATACTTTAACTTCTGGGATACATGTGTAGAACATACAGGTTTGTTACATAGGTATACATGTGCCATAGTAGTTTGCTGCACCCATCAACCCATCATCTATATTAGGTTATTTCTCTGAATGCTATCCCTCCCCTATCTCCCCACCCCGCGACAGGCCCTGGTGTGTGATGTTCACCTTCCTGTGTCCATGTGTTCTCATTGTTCAACTCCCATTTAGGAGTGAGAACATGCCGTGTTTGGTTTTCTGTTCCTGTGTTAGTTTGCTGAGGATGATGGTTTCCAGCTTCATCCATGTCCCTGCAAAGGACATTAACTCATCCTTTTTTTTTTACGGCTGCATAGTATTCCATGGTGTATATATGCCACATTTTCCTTATCCAGTCTATCACTGATGGGCATTTTGGTTGGTTCCAAGTCTTTGCTATTGTGAACAGTGCTGCAGTAAACATACGTGCGCATATGTCTAGGGCCACTTCTAAAGTTATTTCAGTTCAGCCATTCTTCTGGTATCAGCATCCCAGGCTCACACTCTGTGCTCCTTTCAAGGGAGATGCAAGTAACTATTTTTTAACCATTCAACATTTTCAAAATCTGACTTGAACCTCTTACCCTAACAAGTGTGGCTTTTATTAAAACTGCTGAAATTTTAGTCTAGAATGTCACTGAAACTTCTACAGAATAAATGGCTATATTTCCATCATTTTACACCATGCATTCTTATGAGCATACATTGGGATATTGTTTCTAGATATCTAATTGATATGGTTTGGCTCTGTGTTCCCACCCAAATCTCATCTCAAATTGTAAACCCCATATGTTGAGGGAGGTAACTGGTGGCAGGTGATTGGATCATGGGAGCGGTTGCCGCCATATGATTCTCTCCAGATAGTGAGTGAGTTCTCTCACAAGATCTGATGGTTTAAAAGTAGCAGTTTCCCCGCAGTCTCTCTCTCCTGCCACCATGAGAAGATGTGCCTTGCTTCCCCTTTACTATCTGCCATGACTGTAACTTCCCTGAGGCCTCCCCAGCAATGCAGAACTGTGCATAAATTAAACCTATTGCCCTTGTAAATTACCCAGTCTCAAGTATTCTTTATAGTAATGTGAAAATGGACTAATACAGAAAATTGGTACTGGGAGTGGGGCACTGCCATAAAGATAACCTGAAAATGTGGAAGTGACTTTGGAACTGGGTAACAAGCAGAGATGGGAACAGTTTGGAGGGCTCAGAAGAAGATAAAAAGATCTGAAAAAGTTTGGAACTTTCTGGAAACTGGTTAAATGGTTTTGATAAAAATGCTGATAGTGATATGGACATTGAAGTACAGGCTGAGGTGGTCTCAGATGGAGATGAGGAACTTATTGGGAACTAGAGTAAAACTCACTCTTGCTATGCTTTAGCAAAGAGACTGGTGGCATTTCACCCCTGCCCTAGAGATCTGTGGAAGTTTGAACTTGAAAGATAATTTAGGGTATCTGGCAGAAGAAATTTATAAGCAGCAAAGCATTCAAGATATCACCTGGATGATTCTGAAAGTGTTCAGTCTTATGCGTTCACGAAGAGATAATCTGAAACTGGAACTTTTAAAGGCAAGCACAGCATAAAAATTTGGAAAATTTGCAGCCTGACTATGCAGCAGAAAAGAAAAACCCTTTTCTGGGAAGAAACTCAAGCTGGCTGCAGAAATTTGCATAGGTAACAAGGAACCAAATGCTAATCCCCAAGACAATGGGGAAAATATCTCCAGGGCATTTCAGAGACCTTCAAGGCAGCCCTTCCCGTCACAGGCCTGGCCTAGGAAGAAAAATGTTTTCATGGGCTGGGCACAAGACCCCACTGCTTGATACAGGCTTTGGATAAGACGTCCTGTGTCCCAGCCACTCCAGCTCCAGCCATGACTAAAAGGGGCCAATGTACAGCTCAGCCTGTTACTTCCGAGGGTGCAAGCCCCAAGCATTGGTGGCTTTCATGTGGTGTTGGGCCTGCAGGTATGCAGAAGACAAGAGTTCAGCTTTAGGAGCCTCCACCTAGATTTTGGAAGATTTATGGAAATTCCTGGATGTCCAGGCAGGAGTTTGCTTCAGGGGTGAATCCCTGATACAGAACCTCTACTAGGGCAATGCAAAGGGGAAATGTGGGGTTGGAGCCCCCACACAGAGTCCCCTCTGGGCCACTGCCTAGTGGAGCTGTGAAAAGAGGGCCACCATCCTCCAGACCCCAGAAACCAGACCCTGGAATGGTAGATCCACTGACAGCTTGTATCCTGCATCTGGAAAGGCTGCAGGCATTCAACACCAGCCTGTGAAAGCAGTCTCGGGCTGTACCCTGCAGAGCCACAGGGGCGGAACTGCTCAAGGCCATAGGAACCCACCTCTTGCATTAGCATGCCCTGGATGTGAGATATGGGGTAAAAGATTATTTTGGAACTTTAAGATTTAATGACTGCCTTGTTGGATTTTGGGCTTGCATGGAGCCTGTGTCCCCTTTGTTTTGGCCAATATCTCCCATTTGGAATTGGAACATTTACCTAATGCTTGTACCCCCATTGTATCTTGGAAGTAACTCACTTGTTTTTGATCTTATGGGCTCATAGGTGGAAGGGACTTGCCTTATCTCAGATGAGACTTCGGACTTGGACTTTTGAGTTAATGCTGGAATGAGTTAAGACTTTGGGGAACTGTTGGGAAGGCATGATTGGTTTTGATATGTAAAAAGGACATGAGATTTCAGAGGGGCAAGGGGTGAAACGATATGGTTTGGCTCTGTTTTCCCACCCGAATCTCATCTTGAATTGTAACCCCCATGTATTGAGGGAGGGACCTGGTGGAAGGTGATTGCATCATGGGGGTGGTTTTCCCCATGCTGTTCTCATGATAGTGAGTTCTCATGAGATCAGATGGTTTGAAAGTGGCAGTTTTCCTGTGCAGTCTCTCTCTCCTGCTGCCATGAAAAGATGTGCCCTGTTTTCCCTTTGCATTCTGCCATGATTGTAAGTTTCCTGAGGCCTCCCCAGCCATGCAGAACTGTAAGTCAATTAAACTTCTTTCCTTTATAAATTAACCCAGTCTCAGGTATTCTTTATAGCAGTGTGAAAACAGACTAATACACTGATGCTTTGAATTATATACCCTTTTTTAATTGGCGGTGATTTTTTTTAGTCTCCAGTTTGTCTTAAGACTTCACTGGGATCTTTTCCTCTCAAATCCTTATTTCTAGCCCATCACCTTGACTCACTATTATCCTACCCTAAAATTTTGTTTGTGGTTCTTCTTCTCTTACCTTTTATTCCTTTCTCTCTGGCCTGAAATTGTACTGTTACAACCAACATTCAAGAACCCATGGATTGCAGCCACATAGAAGTGTCCTGGTCCTTATTTTGCTTTCATTTTGAGACTAATTATTCAAGGAGTCAATTACAGAGGAAAAAAAAAACAGGGCATGAGGTTAAGATATCTATATTTTAAGGGATCTAATTTCTTGTAGTCCATAAGCAATAGTTTTACTACATCATCCATCATGTCCCACAAAAGGTAATAGGTGGAGTTATTAAATACACATTAAATACACACACATTAATCACATATATAATGCATTGAACATACAAGTATGCAAACAGAAAAGTTACAATATCTCATTCAGTAGTAAATACCAAACCTGATTTGTAGACATCCTATTGTATCTGAACCCATCCAAATGGGGCCATTTTGGAATCACACCTCATAGAATATCCCTACTGTTAACCCGAAAGAGGCAAAATCTTTATCTACTTTTGGTAATTTTATATCTTCCTCTTGAAAATTTTCTTCAGCTAGAAAGAAATTGGATTATTGTAAGGAAAAGTGGAAGGTTTTAACTCCACTGCTAAATAACTAGCTAGATATTGATAGGGTGACTCAGCTGAATACACTAATTTCAGCTGAATAGAAAGATCCAGATGGAGTTGTGAAGAAGTTTCATTCATTTCCCAGAGTTAGCATAAGGCTACTCAGCTCAGGATGGCAGATTTTATATTTAGTTTTGGCTAAGAAAATATTGGTCACATTTTGTGTGTTTTTTTTTTGTGGGATTGCTAAAGAAATGAACACTGTAGAGACCACCCTCTTTCTCTTAATTCCTAGAATATAAGAACAATAAAAAAATCTTAAAATCTGTAAAAAAATACAAATATATTTCAATTATTTATACTAAAGGGGTCATAACTTATAGTGAACTCAGATTTAGTGCACACACACACACACACCAAAACTTTTTCCCTATGAAATGCTTATTGAGTCCCTAGTGAAGCTCTTAGAATCAAATCTTATAAGCTTTAAGAGAGTTGAATCTACATCTACTGAGCCTGTCACTGTTTCTTCTTTCAGTAAGGAACAAGGGACAAGGGGTTCTGGTAAGTTTAGTGTAAACACCATGGGGGTGAGTTTTTTACAATTTGATTAAAAGTTTTATTGGTTTTTTAATATAGAATTGCTTGGGCAATTCACTTCTATTTCTCTGCAACTCAGATTTCCTATCTGAAAATGGAGAATAATAACTGATTCAATGTTGTGAGGATTATATTAGATGATGTCTATAAGCTGCTAACCTTTGCCTGGCCCTTGTGATAGATGCCCAAATATGCCTGGCCCTTTGTTTCTTTTTTCATCTCTGATGAACAAGAGTGTGAAGCTGAAACACCGAGGCTTAAAATGAAGAATATTCCATCTCTGGAAACCAAGAGCTCTCAAGATGTAATAAACCAGCTTTTATCCCTTGGGAGTAGTAGAAGTCATTGAAGGGTAAAGAAAGTTATGAAAAAGCCATGACCGTGGCACTGGGAAACTTAAATAGCTAATAACTAGAGGATGCATAAGCCACTCAAGACCCCAGGAAAGGAAGAAAATGAGGCTCTGTATTCCCTATGGTAAAGACGACAGGAAGTTCAGGGGCACTGTTGTGATTTTCCTTTAAGTCTCATGCATTCTGAGGAAGCCAGGGGAAAGTAGTTCTACTTTCTCCCCTTCTATCTGCCCTTGCTTGGTCCCCCTAGCCCTGAGGCAATTCTTTAGATAGTTGATTCAGACAAGATTAAGGATGAGCAGTGAATGGGTGCTCATAGGGCAATCTGACTGATAGCCTACTTCATGCTAACTCAGTCCAACAGTGTGTCAAACAACATTTGAGTTCAGGCTGATGGAAGGGGTCTGAATTCAGGAATTGGTAGATAGCAATATCATGGAGGCACTAGTCACAATTTGCTTAAAATAAATAACTTACAATATACATAAAATATGCTTTGGCCTATGCAATTCCAAAACTATTGAAGTATTCATATATCAGAAACTCTTTACCAGCTTCTCTTATGTATACCCAGCTGCCATTGTCTTCTGAAATACACTTCGATTGAGCACTGAATAGGCCAAAGCACCATTCTAGGTTCTAAGAGAGACAGTGAAAATAGGTAAATCATGACAGCTATTCAAAATATCTGTAACAGTAGGTTGCACTGTATAATTTATTCTTAATGCTTAGCAGATGTTCTATACATTGTAGATACTCAGTAATATTTGCAACAGAATGGAATAACCTCTTATGTTATTTATTGTCATAATAGATGGAGTAGTGTTTTCCTCCCAAATAATTATTACATCATAGAAGGCAAAGAAAAATCATAATGTTCATTCTGTATTCCTAGTGCCTTAGAGTTGATTGCATATTACATGCTCAATAAAAACTTTTTGTTTGGCTCTGAGGGACTATATCTCCTCAAGAGAAGAGCTATGGAAATGTCTATTGCTGCTTCTGACTCATCTGAAGGTACAAACAAGGGTGTGTCAGCTTAGCTTACATGAGAACTAGGTTCTAGGAGTCTTGGACATTTGTTTATCACTAATTCACAGCCAAAGTTATTCTTGATGTGTTTTGTTCTATATTATGTAACATACTTTATCCTTTGAATACAAAAAAAAAAACCAACAAATTTTTACTGAAGCCACGCCCTAAGTGACTTACCCATTTCAGAGGGCTATTTATTTTACAGAGGGCAATGAAAATCATGGCAATGTTTAGTGACTAGCTACTCACCAGCTCAATTAATGATTGATTAATTTAATTGGAAGATCTGTAAGCACTGAAGGTGAGTGAAGCAAGTTGTCTTGCTGGGATTAAGTTGTGCTTTAACACATGCATTGGGAGTAAATGGGAGAGGTGCAAAAGAAGGGTGCTCCACGTACCAGGAGAAAGGAGGATTGAAGCAAAGACTTGGAAGCAGAGATGAACATGCATATGAATAGGGCAATGACAATATCTAGCCATGTTTCAGGTGTTCGTTGTAGAGGCAAACACCTGAATCATACTCTAGTGTTTTTTGTTTGTTTTTTTTGTTTGTTTGTTTTTTGAGATGGAGTCTTGCTTTGTTGCCCAGGCTGGAGTGAAGTGGCACAATCTCGGCTCACTGCAACCTCTGCCTCCTGGGTTCAAGCGATAAGTGATTCTCCTGCCTCAGCCCCCTAGTAGCTGGGTTTACAGGCGCATGCCACCACACTCACCTAATTTTTGTATTTTTCAGTAGAGACAGGGTTTTGCCACATTGGCCAGGCTGATCTCAAACTCCCAACCTCATATGATCCACCCGCCTTGGACTCCCAAAATGCTGGGATTACAGGCGTGAGCCACTGCACCCGGCCCCTGTCATGGTTTTTAATCTTAATAAAACTTATCGTCAATCAGCTTTTAAATTCCTCTTTCTGTTCGTCCTCTGTCAGACCTCACTCAGTTTCCAACCCCTCCTAGAGAATTGCCATGGATTCAGAGATACATCTCTATTTTCAGGTGATAGTCATTTTAATTTTCATTGAGCATCTACCATGAGCCAGGCATTGCACATAAAATATAAGAGAAAATGCTCACTTTATGAAGTTCAGAGTCTATTGGGAGCGATGCAAGCAAGATGTCTTTGGCATATTAGCTAAAACATGGTAAAGCCTGATGTGTACTGAAAGAGAGCAAAGAAAGATGTGTATGTATGTATGTGTTTATGGAAGGGTTAGAGAGGGACAGTTTTTCTTAGATCCATCATGAATTTGATGAAAAACTTTCAGGAGAAAATGTTACCACAGGTGTTAACCAGGCAGAAATAAGAGAGAATAGTATTCTAGGCAACAGAAGCTTATGCACATGCAATTAGGAAGAAACTGAGAGTGAGGAGTGGATCTTCTTCTTTCTGTTTAACTTTCTGTATTACATCTTGGTTAGATGTCCATGAATATTTAGAAAAATATTGATAAGATATAAAGGACAACAATAGAATGATGACTCTGTATCCCTTGCACATTTTAAAAGTGGCCATTACTTTTGAACCCCATGGTGTCTTTCTCCCTTTTCCATCTCCTTCTCACTCCATTCAGGGAACACTGTTCTAATCTTTGTGTTTATTATTTTCTTGATTTTCTTTATCCATTGATGAAGACACCAAAAGCAATTACAACAAAGACAAAAATTGAGAATGAGATCTAATTAAACTTAAGAGTTTCTGCACAGAAAAAGAAACTGTCAAAGAGTAAGCAGACATCCTACAGAATAGGAGAAAATATTTGCAAACTATGCTTCTGACAAAGGTCCAATATCCTGCATCTCTAAGGAACTTAAACAAATTTACAAGAGAAAAACCAAACAACTCCATTAAAAACTGGACAGAGGACATGAACAGACATTTTTCAAAAGAAGACATACATGCAGCCAACAAGCATATGAAAAAAATGCTCAATAACACTGATCACTAGAGAAATGCAAATCAAAACCACAATCAGATACCATCTCATACCCGTTAGAAAGGCTATTATTAAAAGGTCAAAATTAACAGATGCTAGTGAGGTTGTGGAGAAAAAGGAACACTTATACACTGTTGGTAGGAGTGTAAGTTAGTCAACCATGTGGAAAACAGTATGGCGATTCCTCAAAGACCTAAAAGCGGAACTACCATTTGAGAAAGCAATACCATTTATATAACCAGAGGAATAGAATTCATTCTACCATAAAGACACATACGTGTGAATATTCATTGCAGCACTATTTACAATAGCAAAGACATGGAATCAACCTAAATGTCCGTCAATGACAGATTGGATAAAGAAAATGTGGTACAAATAGACCATGTAATACTATGCAGCCGTAAAAAAGAATGAGATCATATCTTTTGCAGGAACATAGATGGAGCTGGAGGCCATTATCCTTAGCAAACTAACTCAGGAACAGGAAACCAAATACTGCATGTTCTCACTTAGAAGTAGAAGCTAAATGATGAGAACTCATCAACTGAATATAGGGGGCAACAAGAGACATTGGGGCCTACTTGAGGGTGGAGGGTGAAAGGAACAGGAGCAGAAAAAATAATCATTGGGTACTAGGCCTAATACTTGGGTGATAAAATAATCTGTACAACAAATTCCCGTGATGCGAATTTACCTGTATAACAAACCTTCACATGTACCCCTAAACCTAAAATAAAAGTTAAAAACAATTACCACACATGTTCCTATCTTTTAAAAATATATTGTTCAGACCGTAATCCCAGCACTTTGGGAGGCTGAGGTGGGTGGATCACCTGAGGTCCAGAGTTCAAGACCAGCCTGGCCAACATGGTGAAAACCTGTCTCTACTAAAAATACCAAAAATTAGCTGGGCATAGTGACTGGCACCTGTAATCCCAGCTACTCAGGAGGCTGAGACAGGAGAATTGCTTGAACCCAGGAGGCAGAGGTTGCAGTGAGCCGAGATTGCGCCATTGCACTCCAGCCTGGGCAACAAGAGCAAAACTCCGTCTCAAAAATATATTTATATATAGTTCAATTTTCCATTCAGTTGGAAATTTATATAAGTGGAATCATACTATGTATATTTGTTTGCTTCACTTTGTGATTTCTCCATATTTTTGCATTCCATTAATATATTACAATATATTCATTTTAATAGGATGCCTATTTACATTATTTCTACCATGGAACTATCACATCCAATGCTGCTATGAATATTCTAAGACATATTTCTTCATGCACATATGTAAGAGTTTCTCCTATGGAACATGTGTATGAGTAGAATTTGGGCTCAAGTTTGTGTGCATGTCCAACTGCACTGGACCGGGTAATGCCAAAATATTTTCTAAACTGGTCATATCAGTTTACAACCCCATCATTAGTTTAGAGAGGGTTTATGGGTAACAAAATTACACTTTTTGTTTGTTATTTCTCGTTATTGAAAGATATACTCAGTTTGTGTACAACTCCACGTTGACAGTTACTGCCCATCAGATACAGAATATTTTATTATACTATACCCCAGTTTTTATTTTCGCAGTTGAGAAATCAGCTATCATTTCAATAATCGTTCCTCTGTAAGTAATCTGCCCTTTGACTATGGCTATTTCTAGAGTTATTTCCTTGTCTTTGTTATTTAGCACTTCACTATAGTACAAAATACATATGCGATTTTCCTGAAATTATTGACTTTTACCGTTAACAGTTCTAGAGAAATCTCAGGCACTCTGTCTTAAAACATAGTTCCTTTAGATTCCTTGTCTATTCTAAAATATGCCTGGCATTTTATATTTTCTTACACTTAAAATTTAATTTATGAGTATATTAAATATACTTATTTTGTTCAGTATCTCATAATTCCTAAAGTTAAAATAGTTGTACACCTGATTCTATGATCTGTTGTTTCTGCCTGTCCTCATTCCAATGCCTTGTTTTCTTGTGTGTGTTTTGTTAATTGAATGAGGTTTCTGAGATCAGATGGTTTGTGTTTGCTTCTGTGAGTGCGTGGGATATTATTCCAAATTTGTACTTTTTATTATCTATTACGTTGTACTACAAAAAATAGAATTCTTGAAAATGATAAAGCTCATAGCAAAGAGTGGTGTAAAGGGTCATGGCCTGCTGAAAATATGACACATTATTCTGTAAGTAATTGACAGCCTTTTAAGAGTTTTAAAGAGAGGAAATAAATGGCAAGGTCATTATTTGTGTTTTAGGTAAATTTTCTGGGTTAGAATATAGACAGTAATATAGACAGTAGATTTAAGACAGGGTAAAGACACAGATACGATTAAGTACGTGGCTGTTTACTGTGCTATGTCTGGCAAGAAGTGATGAAGCCTAAACTAGGGCAGTAGAGGTAAAATAGTAATGGGGGAAAGGGGAATGAATTTGGGAAATACGAAGAGGTAAAATAAACAATATTTGCTGATGCACTGGAAGATGATCCAGAAAAAAAGACAGGCAGAGTCTCAATAACTCTCAAATTCTTGGTTTGGGGAAATGGCTGTATAATATGGCCATTCACAGAGTAAGAGTAGGAAGATAGAGGTTTCTGCCCCTCATCTGAAACTTCTTAGATTAGTTTAAACCTTTGAGGCAGATCTGGGGCATTGAAATGCTGTAACTAGCAGGCCTTGCTTATTTATTTTTCTACAAATATTTATGTTCGTATATGCCAGGCTCTGTGCTGTCAGTCTGATGCTCAGGATATTGGTCAGGGATATAGATATAGATTTGGAAATTATCACTACAAACATTGTAGGTAAAACCAAGAGTATTATGAGGTGGACTAATGAGCATTTCTTTTTCTTTATTTAATTTTACTTTAAATTCTGGGATACACGTTCAGAACGTGAAGGTTTGTTACATAGGTATACGTGTGCCATGGTGGTTTGCTGCACCCACCAGCCTGTCATCTAGGCTTTAAGCCCCACATGCATTAGGTATTTGTCCTAATGCTCTCACTCCCCTTGTCCCCCAGCCCCCGACAGGCCCCAGCGTGGGATGTTCACCTTCCTGTGTCCACGTGTTCTCATTGTTCAACTCCCACTCATGAGTGAGAACATGTGGTGTTTGGTTTTATGTTCCTGTGTTAGTTTGCTGAGAATGATGGTTTCCAGCTTCATCCATGTCCCTGCAAAGGACATGAGCTCTAATGAGCATTTCTTGAGAGAGAAAAGCAGCATTTAAGTGACAGAATCGTGGGAATGCTGAAGTTTTCATCGTTCTATGGAGCAAGAATCTGAGAAGGAAAGCCTACTAGGGTAGTAAGTGCAGATAGAAAGATGAGAGTGGAATTATAGTAATAGAAGCCTGGGAAGTATAGGCTTTACAAATGAAAGAATGAAGAAAATAAATATGAACAATGTAAAATAAGTCATTATAATGTATAAAATTTCACAGAGAAGTCCAAAAATATGTTATAAAAATATTTTGTCAATATGAAGCCCATCGATAATTTTAGTTAAAGCAAGATTCAATGGGATGGTGGAATCAGAAACTATCGGGTTATATTGAGAACTGAGGATACAACAGAACAGATGGATACAACCACTAGAAATTTAGTTGAAAATGTAAGGAGAAAGAACTAGCAGCTTGAGATTTTAAAATGATCTGGGGAAGATTTTCTTTTTCAAAAAATATTAGAAATTTGAATATATTTACAACCTCTGCTGGAAAGATAATAAAAATAGGCTGGTGGTAAAGAAAGGAGAAGGGAAAATATGAAATACTATTCAAGATGAGAAGGAATGAGGATAAGAATGTAGCTGGAGTCGATAAGTAGGATACCCTGCCATCTAAAACGGAGATCACATTTGTAGAAAAGAGAGTGGAAAATTGAGGAAGGTGCTGGGTATGGTGGCTCATGCCTGTAGTCCCAGCACTTTGGGAGGCTGAGGCGGGTGGATCACAAGGTCAGGAGAGTGAGACCAGCCTGGCCAAGATGGTAAAACCCCATCTCTACTAAAAATACAAAAATTAGCCTGGTGTGGTAGTGCACGCCAGTAGTCCCAGCCACTCAGGAGGCTGAGGCAGGAGAATCATTGAACCCGGGAGGCAGAGGTTGCAGTGAGCCGAGATGGTGCCACTACACTCCAGCCTGGGCTTCAGAGTGAGACTCTGTCTCAAAAAAAAAAAAAAAAAAAGGAAGTTGAGGAATTTTACACTTGACCAGCACTAGATGCTTCGGCTGTATTTAAATGATGTCATAAACTGGTCAGTATCATAATAATTATTGAGAAAATAGCTAACATATTTGAGTAGATACAATATGGCAAGTAATGCTGTATGAAAGTGCATGCATTATCTCACTTAATCCTTATACCAACTTTAGGAGGCAGCAGCTCCTTCTCTTCTTTTTCTCTTTTACATGATGAAGTAAATGAGGCACCCAATTTTAAATAATTTTGAATAAATTATTACATTTATTTAAATTTCAAATAAATGACCCAATGCCACAGTTAGTAAGGAGAAGAGTCAGAATTTGACCTCAAGCGATGTACTCCAGGATAGGGCTCCTGAAGTTTTCCATACATTATCTCATTAAATTCTCAGATTAGTTCTGGAAGATATCTATTGTTGTTTCCCCAAACTATTCCTGCCTCAAGTATGCCTCAGCAGGAAACAGTTTCTTGTAACCCAGAGGTTATGGATCTTCTAGATTTTAGGGAAGAGACAGTGAATGATGACTGCTAGTAGTGAACACCAGCGCATCATTGCTTTGGGCTTTTTCCACTGCCCAGGAATCAGCTCTTTGAGGGTCAAAAGGAACCTGATCACTCTGGATGGAAGGTGCTAGAAGGAAGCAAATGGAAGATAGCCTTTGGGAAGGATCCTGTTAAAAGGAAAGCAATACAGTGGGAGTGAGCAACATGTAACTGAAATAGAAAATTCTAGGTAATAAATACCGGTGGATTTGTGCAATGACGTTTTTTTCAGAATGAATAATAAATTATATGTTTTGCCTCCCACATACAGATGGTATAAATGTTTTAATTACTGAGAAGTTGATGTAGCGATTTAAAAAATGTTTGAATAAAGAAATTGTCATTTTACCATGTCAATAAAGCAATTGGTTTCATCATTGTATATTATATATGTATAGTTAATGTAAAAGAAACATTTCATTGTCTACTTGTATTAAAATATTAACATAAACATTCCCCTGTAGCATGTTAGTATCTTTTCAATGACTTTATTATACCCCATCAAGTAAATGTAAGTTTATTATTAGTCATTTTGGCTATTTTCTTTTTTACTATTGTAGCTAATGCTGTGATGAACATGTCCATTTATATAACCTCCTGCCTCTGTTGAATGAATTCCTTAGGTTAGATACTCATGGAAACATTGGTTAGATTACATGGTATTAACCTTTGAAGTTTTTGCTGCAGACCAGATCAATTAAATATTTAATTTTTTATTCAACTGATGTCAAGTGTTTTAATTTTTTGCTTCCTCTTGGAAAGACACTCCATGTATCTTACTCCTTTTTTGGATGCCAGGAGTTGAGAGTTCACACGCTAACCTATTATGATAAAGAATTTCTGAGACTAAAGCAGAAGCAAAGAAGAAATCAAAAGAAGCAGAACCTTTGTAATTCATCTATGTTGGCACTCCTCCCATATATTTCTCTCATTATTTTCTCCCCTCACACACATACACCTTTCCAGTACCCTAGATGTTCTTAGGTGTGGAAGATGGGATTGCAGAAGCTCTTCTTCAGCTCCCAGGCATGATAAAGATCAGGTACTTAATTTATAAGTAAGTGAATGACTGGGGGAATTTATAGATGGGGAACATTTTTCCTTAGAAGTTTCCTTGTTGAAACAATGTAATTTCCCTTGGAGGTTTTGTCATATTCTACCATGATTTTGATGGTATATTGATGGTATATTTCTCCTAGGAAATTCCACCCTTTTAAAGTTAAACACAAATCAGTCACTTTGTGTAGCAGAGATGGGCTCTTCAATTCCATTTTCTCTTGTTCCATAATACTGGAATTTCTTCTTTTTCCTAGTTGACTGAGTGAATGTAAACAATTCACTGAAGGCCCGAAGGAAGGCCCTTAAATATGGTGGCTACACAAGATGGGAAGAATCAGGACTCAGGAATATGCCTCTAATGTGTTAAGCCACAGAGATTAGAGTGGCAGTTTCAGAGTTGTTGTTCACGATCCTGACTGATACACTTTATACAGTGATGAGAATAAATCCACAGGACTTTGCTGAACACCTCAAGATAATCATCCCTAAGGTAGAAGGTTGAAGCAAATCTTTAGAAAGCTCAGAATCTGGGCCCATGTCTCTGGCTTTTTTGCTCAGTGCCAAGGGTACAGAGCTATAGGCATAATGAAGTTGTCATTTATTTCCAAAGTACCTGAAGGATCTGGGGTGTAGTATTCTGAATATGCATTGATAATTCTGCCTAGGTAAAAGTGCATGACAGCTTTGCCTTCAGAAATAAATTCCAATTCTAGGAGATTTTTGTTTGTTTTTTAATATCAACACTCTTTGGCACAGTTACACGGCCAAAGTGATTAGGTGCTAAGAGTGTGGACAAGGTCTCTAGATTATTAAACCACTACATTCATGCAAAATGAATAATTTGAATTCAATATCTGTAATGCCATGAGAGATAAATGACTGTGAGATCTCCCGTGTATGGTTATTCAGATGCAACTCTGGGGGAAATCCACCTCACATGGAGAGATATCTGCCTGAGGTGATTAGGCTGGAATTTAATTTTATTTAAATGTGTGAACACTTTTAATAAGGCTCTGGAGGTATTACAAAGTTTGCAGAATCCTTATATTTGAAAAATGTTTTATTTTGCTTGATAACACGTAGAAAAGCCCTTATTGTGATTAGCATTTGAATAGCGGGATCATCTTAATACTCTTGTTATTAATATGACAGGTTTGATTTTCTCAAAGGTGACAATTGAACCCAATTCTCAGATCAGTTAATCCATGTATTTATGTAAATTGAACTTTTCTACCTTGTAATTTGGTTCTGGAGTACATTGGATTTCCTTCTGCCCTGTGGGGCTCATACATCAATTTAAATCCCTAAGTTACTGGCCTACTTTCTGCTGGATATGAAGATTTAGGTTTCTTCCCTGAGTTTTGATGATTGTCCACGTGTTTTATGCTGCAATGGACAGTCTAACATCATTTGTGGGCTCTTGAATCTCTGTGAATCTGCATCTGCTTCTGAACCTCATGCTTCGGTTGGGTCCACATCTGCTTTAAATTAATGATGTTACCTGTACACTTGCTGGTGCCTTTTACACAAAAGGGGGAAGGTGAAGCAGGGGGAGAAGAAAGATGAGATTAGCATGTATTTTTACCTCACCTTGTACTTCCTATTTGGTATTAGGCTCCTCAGGTTCCCTTTGTCTGAACATATCACTGTTTCTTTTCCTCCCTGAGTTGCCTCTGCTCATTTGCATGGCTCTCAGCTTCCTTCTTGCATTGTTCCATGTTATACTACTTCTGTGTTCACTTGGGACCGTATTTTAGAAACTCTCTGGATTTCACACCTATGGTTCCTGAGTCTGCACCATGTGTTACTGCTCAATCAGAGCATCTTGCCTCTCAGAAAAACCACCTTCCCACGTGTGACTACCGGCTTCATTTAGAAGACACAGGGAATGTTCTTCCACCTCTGAATATAGCAAGGGTGCAAGAATCCTGATTGGTATTATGTGTCAGATATAAACCTGGACTGAAATTCAGATTCTTAAAAAATGTCACAGTATCTTTCATTTTCAGTGGTCCCTGTGCCTTGACCATTCATCCAGGCCTGCTCTCATTAGTCCATTACATTTAATTAGCATCTCCTTTCCAGTAAACTTCCAAGAGCACCCCACCCCCCGCATTTATTCCTTCTGATTTCTCCAGCCTTTGGTGCCAACCTCTATTCAGTATATAGTGGTATGCTTATTGCCCCTCGAAGGTGCCCATTTCTTTCTCCTCTGGGAACACTTTTGAAATGCTTTTCTATTCTTAGTTTTGCTAAATCTTATCCATTCTTCAAAGCTTAATTTAAGTTCTACTTCCTTTAAACCAACATAGAAATCTCCCTAAACTTCCTGACAGGAGGTGTCTGACTACTGTTTGGACATCTCTAGAAAGACAAAAACGTAGCCCTTCCAAGGTATAGCCAGCTTCCCATGGCATTTGGGATATGAACTGTGTTGTTAAGAACCAATTAGACTGTGTCATTGTAGTCAGACCTTTGCAAGATGAGAACACAGCAAGAAATGAAGTATCAGTAAATCTGGATTCTAATCTCCTCTCAGTCACTAGCCTGATATATGACCTTGGGAACTTAATTCTCCTTTTGTGTTTCAATTTTATTTTTCTGCAAAAGAGAATGCTACATGAATAAACTCTCAAATATAGCTTCCATCAGAAAACTGAATTCATTATTTCAGATAAATTGTTGTGATTTTTGTTTCAAATAAAATTTAAAAAAATTTTTTAATGTGGTCTTGTATAAAAATCATAGTGTGTGCTCCAAACTTAGTAAATGTAATAAAGTTATTAGGTGATGCATATTTTTTAAAAAAGAATTCCACCATAAGGATATATTTGTAAAGTATACTTTAAAATCAGTGTCAATATTTTAGAACCATACCATGTATTCATCCTTTAAATATATGGCACTTTTCCTATTATTTTGACAGCAAGCATCTTTTTTTCTCTCATTCTTTTTTCAACAAATAGTTTCCTGCTATGCCTATACACTGAGTATCAAATGAAAAGACACCTAAAGATAAAATGTATGAGAAAACTTGTATTGGTGAAAATGGTGCAAATTTTATATGGGTGTTTTGTTGGTAGATCTAGGTTTTTCCAAAGGAAATCCAAAGGCATGCCCATCCAAAGCTCATAGAAAAGAATGTGTACACACTGCAGGGTACTCCTGAGAACTTTGTAAGTTTGAATATTTCAAGGTCTGAGAGGTGGTGGCTGCACTCTCCAGTCCCTTTGGGGTTTGTTAAGTCCCCTTGAGAATTGGAAAGCAGTAGTGTTGGTACACGAATGATAGCTGAGTGAAGAGATAGAAAGTCTTTGCAGTGAAGTTTTGATAAAATGATCCTTGCAAACAGCCAGCAGCAATTCTGCTGGGCATTTGGAGAAGCAGGTGGATTCATCTTTCAAACATTAAAGAAGGAGAAATTCTTTCTTCTAGGCTGGTCTGAAATGAGAGTGAAATGGCCCTGCCAGGGCTAGAAAGGTAGGATCACAGCCTCATTGCTGACAGTGACTGCTAACAGGGTGCAGCTTTTGTCACGTCACAATGCTAGAATGCACCCTATTGCTGACAAGGACATTGACCTTTCGTAAATCAAGTGATTCACTAAAATGAGAAGCCAGAAGGAAATGCATCGCATAATGTAAAGAGTGTGTTACTGTTGGAGATGAATGCCATGTATAATAAAAATGCTAAGCATTCTGTCCTTCCTAACTAAATGCATAACCCCAGGGTCAGTCATAACCAAAGCACACAACCTCAGAGCATAAATTGGATGTAGATCTGGTAGTTTTTAGTCTTCTTAGGCATCTCTGCAGCCCTCCTTGGTACAGAAGAAGGAAGATGATAAATGTGGTGGAGGAGTTTGGAGTTAAAAGGCAGATTCTGCTTTGGAACTTGTTTGTTGTAATCCTTAACGTAAGTCATTTATTCTTTCTGAGCCTCAGCTCTGAACACATAAAATGGGGATAGAGTTGTTACAGTGGCTGAATGATGCAACAATATAAACAACTTTAAAAATTATGATCAGTCCTATAGTTTTTTTTGCAGGAAACTCCATAGGGTTTTCCATAATGGTTGTGCTAATTTATATTACTACCAGCAGTTTGTCAAGGTTCTTTTCTCTCTATATCCTCACCAATACTGTGTGTTTTATGATTTTTTAATTGTAGCCATTCTGATTGGAGTGAGATGTTATCTTCTTGCAGTCTTGATTTGCATTTCCCTGATAATTAGTGATATTGAACATTTTTTTTCATATACCTGTTGGCCATTTGTATGTCTTCTTTGGAGAAATGTCTATTCAGATCTTTTGCTCATTTTAAAATTAATTTTATTTTTAACTGATACATCATATTTTAGGGGTACATGTGATCATTTACTACATTCATATAGTTTATAAGGATCATATCAGTGTGATCAGAATATCCATCACCCTAAATAGTTTTCTATTCTTTATTCTAGAAATGTAGATTATTGTAATTTTGCCCATTTTTAATCAGGTTTTTTTTTTTATTGTTGAGTTGTAAGAGTTCCTTGTATATTTTGAATATTAACCCTTTAATAGATGTACAGTTTGCAAGTATATTTATTTTCACAATCTGTAGGTTGTTTCTTTGCTTTGTTGATTTTTGTTGTTGTGAAGAAGCTTTTTTAGTCTGATGTAATCCCATTTATCTGTATTTGCTTTTGTTGCCTATGCTTTTGCAGTTTTATTAAGAAAATTATTGGTTAGACTAATGTTACAGAAATTTTCACCTATGTTTTCTTCCAGTACTTTCATAGGTTTAGGTCTTACATTCAAGTTGTTAATCCATTTTGAGTTAATTTTTGTATATGGTGAGAGATAGGGTCTAGTTTCATTCTTCTTCATGTTGAGATCCAGTTCTCCCATGACCATTTGTTGGAGAGGCTGTCCTTTCCCCATTGCGTATACTTGACGTGTTTGTTGAAAGACACTTGATTGTAGATGCTTGGGTTTCTTTCTGGGCTTTGCATTCTGTTCCACTGATCTATGTCTTCTTTTATTCCACTACCATGCTGTTTTGTTTACTACAACTTTGTAGTATGCTTATAGCATTTAATAAGTCAGGTAGTGTGATGCTACCAGCTTTGTTCTTTTTGCCCAAAATTGCTTAGGCTGTTCGGGGTCTTTGCGGTTCCATATGGATTTTAGAATTTTTTTTCTATTTTTGTAAAGAATGGCATTGATATTTTGATAGAGATTGCATAAAACTAGCATATAATCCAGCAACCCCACAACTGGGTATTTATACAAAGAAAATGATATTAGTACATTGAAGAGCCATCTGTACTCCAATGTTGAGTGCAACATTATTCACAATAGCAAAGATATGGAATCAACTTAACTGTTCATCAATAGAAGAATGGATAAAGAAAAAGTGATATGAATATAGACAATGAAATACTATTCATCCATAAAAAATAAAATTCTATAATTGGCGGCAATATGGATGAACCTGGAAGACATTTTATGTAAAATAAGCCAGGCACAGAAACACAAATACTGCATGTTCTTACTCATAAGTGGAATCTTAAAAGCTGTTCTCACAAAAAGTAGAAGTGAAATAATAGTTACCAGAGGATGATGAGGGGAAGAGGGAGAGGGAGAGGGAATGATGAGAGATTGGTTAGTGGCTTCTGGCATTCTATTGCATAGAAAGATGACTAGAATTAATATATTGCATATTTCATAAAGTTAGAATTTTTGAATGTTCTTATCACAAAGAAATGATTAATGTTTAATCAATTTAAATATACTAACTACCCTTATTTGATCAATGTATATATGTACGGAAATGTCACATTGTATCCCATAATTTCTATAGTATTGTATGTCATTCTTAAATTTAAAAGTTATGATCAGTCTATATATTTTTGAAAATTATGAATGTTACAGAATCAAATCTCTATACTATTTAGTCTGGCTCCTTCACTTCAAGAAGTGAAAAAGAATAAGATTTTAACAGTGTAAAGGCTTTACTGTGGAAAATTGATGTGTAGGAGAAAATAAGGAGGATCTGTAAGAGGCTGGGAGAGCTGACAGACCTTGATGCAAGCAGGACCCTGAGTGAAGGGGAGAGGGAGGAAAGTTGAGGAAATGGACCATAGACTGCTGTGCACTCTATGATTTGGCAGAATTAACCAGGAGTCTTTAAACCAAAGATGGTTCTCAGGAGCTCCTGTGTCTCTTAAAAATGAGTTCTACCTTAGTATCTTCACTAAACTTGGGCATCAACTAGGATCAGCATGGCTTTGGTGCAAACACAATGATGGGTACCAAAGTGCAGCAACTGGGTCACTTCTGCTCCTTATTGTTGGAAGTCTGAAAAGAGCATTCTCATGGCTGCCATATATATTTTACACTCAAGGAAGCTTTCTCAGAAGAATGGATCTAGCTGATAGGAAACCTGCCATAAAGAGATGCAGGGCACAGTGGAAGGCAGAGGAAATCACTGCTATAAAAGTTCCAAGGACAAATGAGCCATGTTCAAGGAGGTCAGTGTGGCTGCAACATAGCAAATGAGGGGAAAACTGCAGGAGGTGATGTCAGGAAGGTAGCCAGAGACCAGACATTGTAGGCCCTTACAGGTCCTAGGAACTGTTTGTTTTAGTTTTTTTTTTTTTAGTATGAAATACAAACTAGATTGTTTTGTTTTTGGTTATTATTATTATTTTTTTTTGGTAGGAGAGTAGCCTGATTCTAATTAAATTTTTTAAAAGATTAGTCTGTCTGAAGTGTTAGAAATGGGTTGTCTGGAACAAGAGCAGAAGAAAGGAAATTGGATAGAAGATCAAGTCCAGGCAGAAGAAGAGGAATCAGTACTTAGACTGGAAGGTAGTGGTGGGAGTGGGAGGGAGACAACTGATGTAGCATATGTTTTAGAGTCGAGGATTATGCCATGTCTTTGGCTATAGAAATCCTGTAGAGACCAATGTATTTCCTTAAAGTGAGAAAGTCAGGAGAAAACTGATCTTAAAGAGGGAAAGTATTTTTTTCTGAGTTGGACATATTTAGCTTGAGACGCTTATTAGACATTGAGTAAAATATGTAAAGAAGGAAATTAGTTAAGGGGACAGGAACATAGGAGATGGGATCTGGAGATATAATTTTGGGAGTTGCTGATATGTACATAATATTTAAATCTGTGGTACCAGATAAGATTACTTATAGAAGAAATGTAACTAGAGAAGGGAAGATGTCCTAGCACCAAATCCAACTCTGAGAAATCTGGAATACATGGAAAAAATAGCAAAATATACTGTGAGGGGGCAGCCAATAGACTAGAAGAACCAGAAGAGTATGGGGTGGAAACTTAGAAAAAAAAAAACCTGTTTCAAGAAGTAGGGAGAAATCAGTGATATACTATTACACTTTAAGTAAAAAGATTGAAGAAGTGGCCATTTAATACTACAACACAAAATTCACTATTGTTCCCCTGCTATAGGATAATAGAGGTTTAGTGACTGATCAATAGCCATGGTACTAATACATAGTAAATCCAGGACTCACATGAAGCTCTATTGTTAAATGTATATACTTAGATTAATTCAGTATTCCTTCCTCCATTCATTTTATGATTGATCTCTCTAGGTTAATAATGCTGAAGTTTTAGTGTCATCTCAATTATGTTGGAAACTCTTTAAAGAAGAGACAATGGCCTACGTTCCTGGTGAATCTACCTTAGCATTGAACATAGCTCACACTACTCAGAGAAGGTACTTGGAGTTAGCTAGTTGGTTGCACAAGAGTTGCATTACGTGGTGATAAATAATGCTGACAGTGCAAGCAAGAGGAGCAGCAGCAACCAGTAAGAGCCACATTGCTGAACTCACATGGATGTTATTGAGAAGAATTGTTTCCCTTTTCTGCTTCAAGTGAGTCCAGAGGCCACTTCTACAACAAACAGAACTTAATTGGAGAAATTTGGTATTGTGTGGGTCCCTAAAGCAATTCTTCCTTCCCAAGTTTTCTAATATAGAATTTAGGAGTACAAAAATAACTTAATTTTGTGACAGAATAATCTTTAGACACATTTGCTATTTCTCGGTTCAGTTCACTTGGCCTACAATGCTTATAAAATCAGTTTTAAACTGGTAGTTACCAATTATGAAACTGTAATTATAATTATTTAAAATGAGGGACGGGTTGAGTGGCTCGTGTCTGTAATCCCAACACTTTGGGAGGTAGAGGTGGGAGGATTGCTTGAGCTCAGGAGTTCGAAACCAGTCTGGGCAACATAGTGAGACCTCATCTAAAAAAATAAAATAAAATAAAAAATAACAAACATACAAACAGACAAAACCATTATATACATAGAGTATAAAGTATATTTGCTGTTTTAACAGCAGAAGTGGAGTATGAGTTCATCAGCACAATGGTAAGACTTTAAAGATGAATCATCTGCTTCTCCATATGCAGATCTGTCTTATTATATGCCAGGAAACCCCAGGAGTAAATTCTGACCAGGATTTTATGTATTTTACTACCATTTAGTATGTGAAACAGGTGTTAGTGGCTTTGTAAATGAAGGATACATCATCCGTGTTGCCATACTCCATCGATTTTGAGACGGTGGGGACCTAAGGGAGTTTGGCTTGGAGAAAACACTGATGACATGTGAACTGTCAATAAATATTTGATGTGCTGTCATGTGGAACAGGAAGCAGGCTTGTTCTGTTTGGCTTCAGCAGGCAGAACCAGGACTAATATATGTGAATTATATGGAGGCAGATGTGGACTCAAGTTTAGAAAAAATAACAGAATTGTTTGAAATTGAAGAGGGTAATTGCATGAAGTAGTCAGTTCTCCAGTGCTTGGGGCATTAAAGAAGAAACTTAACCATTTTCTTTCAAGGATGTTTTAGAAGAGTTCTTACATTATATACATGCTGGGAGTAGGTGATCTCCAATGCATCTTCCAGATCAAAGTAACTGAGGTATTTTAAGGTTTATGTAAGATTGGAGTTATATTATGAAAGGATGGCCACAGTTCTTCCTATTTCTCTCTCATTTCACATGTATACCACTGTCAGTATGGTGCCACTATTTTCAAGTACATTGAAAAATGTGTCCCCCAAAGATAATAATCATGTACACTCACATGGACTGAGATAGCCTCAGAAGCTCAGTTATCCTTGGTTATACAGGTTGAGTATCCCTCATCTGAAATGCTTGGAACTAGAAATGTTTTGGATTTTGGAAGCTTTTTGGATTTCGGAATATTTGCATGTACATAATGAGTTGTCTTGGGTGTACGACCTAAGTCTAAACATAAAACGTATTTATGTTTCACATATACCTTATACACATGGGCTGTAGGTTATTTTATACAATATTTTTAATAGCTTTGTACATTAAAGTTCATGTACATTAAACCATTAGAAAGCAAAGTTGTCACTTTCTCAGCCACCCATATGGACAATCTATGTTTGGCACTGCCATCATGCCTGACTCTAAATTTATGCTACTGATAAACAATCATATTCTTACAGTTATTCACATGTAAGTGAAAAATAATGTGTTCAAGGTAACTTGTGGCATCAAATCAGCACTCAAAAAGTTTCAGATTTTGAGGATTTTAGATTTTGGACTTTTGGATCGGGATGTTCAATCTGTATCTGAGGTTTTAGTCACTCTGTATGTTCACTCTTCCTATGTTCTTAACTCTTCTCCTCTAATGCTACTTCCTTTTACTCCTCCCCTTATCAAATCTTTCAGATATAGCATGCTCTCTGGCATTTATTTTTTTTAAGGTAAAAGACATTTTCTGTATTCCTAAATGTATTACTAAATGTCTTTTCTGCCTCCTACTATAACAAAAATATAACTCTGTCCTGCACCTTCTGATTGGCTTGCATTCTTTCAAAGTGAGGAATCCTTATTGCTCACAATGTATTTGCCATATTTTGGGAGATGAGACCTTTTTCTGTTTCTTTTTTCACAATTTTAATTCCATATTATTATTTTTATCCCTGTTCTCTTAAGTGCTTGCACCATGTCTCATGCTACCCTATGAACTTTCTCAGGGTAGCTTTATCTAGCAACTCTTCTATTCCACTCTCCTGTCCACTATAGCTCAAATTTTTTATAAAGTTTTGTTCTTATGGGGAGGGCATCCAATATTCATTTAAAATTAATTTTATTCTCTTTGGACATATGCCCAGGACTGGAACTACTGGATCATATGGTCATTCTATTTTAAATTTTTTGAGGAACCTCCATACTGTTTTCCACAGTGGCTATAGTAATTTGCATTACCACCAACAAGGTACAAGTGTTTCCTTTCCTCCACCTCCTCTCCAACACTTACCTTTGTCTTATAGATAATAGCCATTCTATCAGATATAAGGTGATAATCTCATTATGGTTTGCATTTACGTGATTATTAGTAATGTTGAACATTTTTTTCATATACCTGTTGGCCATTTGTATGTATCATTCTGAGAAATGTTTACACAGATACTTAGCTTATTTTTAAATTGAATTATTTGATTGGTTTTGCTATTGAGTTTGAGTTATTATATGTATTGAATATTAAATCCTTTCAGATATATAGTTCACAACTATTTTCTCACATTTTACAGGTTGTCTTTTCCCTCTGTTGATTGTTTTCCACGGCTGTGCAGAAAATTTGTAGCTTGATGTAATCCTATTTACTAACTTTGTGTTTGTCGCTTGTGCTTTTGAAGACCTATTTTTTTTGTCTCTTCCCTCTGTTGATTGTTTTCCATGGCTGTGCAGAAGCTTTGTAGCTTGATGTAATCCTATTTACTAACTTTGTGTTTGTTGCTTGTGCTTTTGAAGACCTATTTTTTAAAAAGTACTGCCAAAAACAATATCAACAATGTTTTTCATTTTTTTCTCTAGTTTTACAGTTTCAGATGTTACGTTTAAGTTTTTAATTCATTTTGAGTTCATTTATGTATACAGTGTGAGAAGAAGGCCTAATGCCTTCTTCTGCCTGTGGATATCCAGATTTCCCAACACCATTTATTAAAGAGACTGCCCTTTCCCTGTTATGTGTTCTTGACAGCTTTGTCAAGAACAAATATGACCATACATATGTAAATTTATTTCTGGGCTCTTTATTCTTTTCCTTGGTCGATATGGCTGTTCTTAGTCCAGTAACATGCTAATTTGATTATTATTGCTTTGTAGTATGTTTAAAATCAGGTAGTATGATGCTTCCAACCTTGTTTAGTTTGCTCATGATTTGACTATTCAGGGTCTATTGTGGTTCCAAATAAATTTTAGGCTATTTTTCTATTTCTGTATAAAAAGTAATGGAAATTTTGGCAGGGATTTCATTCAATCTGTAGATCACTTGGGATAGTATGTGTGTTATAACAGTATTAATCCTTTTAATTCATGAACACAGGGCATCTTTCCATTTTTTTGTTTCTTTTTCACTTCATACATTTATTGAAACAATTATATTGTTTTTGTCTTTCGTTACGTTAATGTGGCATATCACATATATTAATGTGTGTATGTTAAACTGTCCTTGCAATCCTAGGAACACATAATCATGGTGAATGATATATTTTTTGATGTGTTGTTGAGTTTGGTTTACTAGTATCTTGTTGAGGATTTTTGCATCTATGTTTATCAGGCATATTGGTCAATAATTTTTTTTTTTCGCTTGTAGTGTCCTTGTTTGGCTTTGGTATGAGATTAAGGCTGCCTTCATTAAATGAGTTTGAAAGTGTTCCTTTAAAAAAACGTGTAAGATTTTGAGAGGGATTGGCATTAATTCTTTACATATTTGGTAGGATTTAGCAGGAAAGTAATCAGGTCCTGGAAATTCCTTTGTTGGGAGGTTTCTGAAACTGATTCAATATCTTTAATTCTGATTATTCTGTTCAAATTTTCTGTGTCTTCATAGTTCGATCTTGGTAGGTTGTATGATCTTAGGAATTTATCCATTACTTCTAGGTTACACAGTTTGTTGGTATATAATTTTTTATAGTAGTCACTAATGGTCTCTTTTATTTCTGTGGGCACCAGACCCATACACCCACTGGCTCAGGCACTGATGTTGCCCACTCAGTGACTCACATAGCAAGCCTGCCTTCATATCTTGCCAAATGACTTGCTCAGGATCTCTGGGTAGACTGACTGGTATAGGGCTTTTCCTGCTATAGCCAGACTATAAAGACTGGAAGAAGTGTCTTCTTCTCTAAATGTGCAGATCCCAGCACAAAGCCACAAGGACTGTGAATAATCAGGGAAAATAACACCATCAAAGGAACAAAATAAAGCACCAGTAACTGATCTTGAAGAAATGGAGATCTACAAATTCCTTGAGAAGTAATTCAAAATAATGTTCAAAAAGCTCAATGAGCTATAAGAGAACAAAAATAGACAACTAAGTAAAGCTTTTTGAAAAAAGGACTGAAAATCTGGAGGGGGCATTAAGATGGCTGACTAGAAGCATGTGTTACTTGCCTCCTCCAGAAAGACCAAAATAGCAAGTAGATAATTACACTTCAAATAGACCATGTAAGAGAGAACACTGTAATTTAACAGAGAAAAGACAGGAAATACCTTAAGTAAAAAAGAAGAGAGACGTGAGGCAGCCTGCTTAGTTGAGATCAGGTGGGATCCTGGGTCCCATGCAGGTAAAGGGTAAATGAGAGAACCCTGGTGATCTACCTTCCCACAGCAGACTCCACCAATCCTAGCCATGGGAGAGCCCATAGACCTTCATAGGCTCTGAGACTAACATAGGGAGCTGCCAAGAGACCACACAAAGGCATGACTCCAGAGAGGGAAGCTCACACTGGGTCAAATAGCCTCTGAGTCTTAAGCAGCTACAGCAAGGCATAATATTAAAAGCCCAGTCCCCATCAGACTAAATCCTGCTTGAGTGCCCAGTGGCCCCCATATCCCCATATTTCTGGAGCCCCATTGACATTTCTGCCCTCAGCCACTGATGCAGTTGACTGCTGCTGTCAAAGCTGAATTACCAATCCTGCTACCCCCAACAGCAAAGCTGTCATGTATTTTCACGTGCACTGAGAACAAACCCTCCTCCCTACAGCAACAGTTGCTACAGGCTTCCACTGCTGGGGCCAAAGCACAAATGAAATGCATGCTCTCCAGACATCTGCATATGCCTAAGGCCACTGAAAGCAATCCCACCCTGTGCTGCCCCAACTCTAGCATTCTACCAAGGTGTTAAGTATTACCCCATCCTGCTTACAATAGCCAGCTCTTGCTTGCGACACTGCGGGGCAGGGTGGGGGCATCGGGGGCTGGTGGTTGGAGCTAAGTACTGGTTTGCCCAGCCCAGTGTCATCCCCCGAGTCCCTGAGCAAGTTGGCTGGAGGCCTGGGGACAACCCAGCTTAGTCTGCTACCATTGGCCCACCTGTGGGACTGGGGACTGGCTCACCCAGCCCATTACAACCACCACCAACAGTGTGGATCATTTGGGAGTCATAGAGTTGTCCTGCCACTGTTACTGCCATGATGCATGACATGTCTGCTACCCAGGGGCCTGAGATTCTGCCCACCCACCTGACCCACAGCTGCCACTACTGGCACCTGAGCAAGCTGCTTGGAAGCCCCAAAATTGCTCTGCATGAACCCACTGACACCAGTGCCACTCTGTGCCACCCTGGGGCTCAAGAACAGGTATGCTCAGCACACTCTGGCACCACTGAGGCCCACAGACAGGCCCACCTAGCATCCTTATTCCCAGGAAAGCTGTAACAAAGTCTCCACTAACAACTTCACCCTAAGTTACTGAGGAAATTACAGATACCACTGATGCTGTTTACAGCCGAAAAAAATCATAAAAGTCTATATTACTGCATGCATCCAGAATCAAAGCCAAAGTACCTTACTCAAAAAAACACCATAGATACATCTTCAGAAAAAAAGTCCTGTTTTACAAAAGCAAATTCAAAATAATTGGAATAAGTGCCTGTTACACCAGATGCACAGATATCAATGTAAAGACACAAGAAAGATGAAAATTCAAGGAAATATAATACTTCTAAAAGAACAAAATAATTATCCAGCAATAGATCCCAATGAAAAATAAATTTACAAAACCCTGGAAAATAATTTAAATTATTATACTGAAGAAGCTCAGTGAGATGCAAAAGAATATAGAAAAAATAAGAGAATACAGAAAAGTAACAAAGAAATCAGAAAAAACAGTTCCATATATAAATGAGAAATTAACCAAAAAAAAACCTGAATAGCCGTACCATTCTGATAAAAAAGAACAAAGCTGGAAGCATCACACTACCTGGTTTCAAAATATATTAAAATACTATAGTAACAAAAACAGCGTAACATTGCTATAAAAACAGACACGTAGGCCAATGGGCGAAAACAGAGAAACAAGAAATGAATCCACATATTTACAGACAACTAATTTTTCATGAAGGCACCAAGAATGTGCATTGGGAAAAGGACACCCTCTCTAGTAAATGATGCTGGAAAAATTAGATACTCGTGTGAGGAAGAATACAAGTGGACCCCTATCTCTCACCATATACAAGTATTCAAGATGGATTAAAGACTTAAACATTAGACCCCAAACTATAAAAATACTAGAAGAAAACATGAAAGACACTTTAGGACATCAGTCTAGGCAAAGATTTTATGGTTAAGACCTCGAAAGCACATGCAACAAAAATGAAAATAGACAAATGGGACTACATTAAACTAAAATGTCTCTGTAGAGCAAATGAAACAGTTGACAGATTGATCAGACCACATGTTGGATTGGAGAAAATTTTAGCAAAGTATTCAGCAAGGGGCTAATATTCAGAATATATAATAAACTTAACTGGAAGAAAATTACGTTTAAATGTGAGCAAAGGACATGAACAGACATTTCTCAAAAAAAAGACATATAGTTGGCCAACAGGTATATGTAAATATTTTCAACATCAGTAATCATCAGGGGAAGGCAGATCAAAATCTCAATGAGACATCATCTCACCTCAGTTAGAATAGCTATAACTAAAAAGACAAAAAATAATAGATACTAATAAAGATACAGAGAAAAGGGAGCCGTTATACACTGTGGTGCGATTTTGAATTACTCCAGCCACTATGGAAATCAATATGAATATCTCTCGAATAACTGAAAATAGAACTAGCATATGATTCAGCAATCCCACTACTGGGTATTTATCCAAAGAAAAAGAGATCAGTAAATCGAAGGGATACCTGCACCCCCCCCATGTTTACTGAAACACTATTAACAATAGTAAAGATATAAAATCAACCTAAGTTTCCATCAGTGCATAAAGAGATTAAAAAATGCATACAATATACACAAAAATATACACACAATATAATACTATGTGGCCACAGAAAGAGAATAAAATAATGTAATTTGCAACCACATGGATAAAACTGGAAGGCATTATGTTAAGTGAAATAATCCAGTCACAGAAAAACAAATATAGCATGTTCTCACTTACATATGGGAGCTAAAAACGTTGATCTCATGGAGGTAGAAAGTTAATGGATGGATACCAGAGACTGGAAAGGGTGTCTGGGTGAGAAGAAAAAGACAAATTGGTTAATTAGTACAAACATATGGTTAGATAGAAGGAATAAATTATAACATTCAGTAGCAGAGTAGGGTGACTATAGTTAACAATGTATTTAGTACATTTCAAAACAGGTAGAGGACTTGAAATGTTCTCAACACATAGAAATTATAAATATTTGAACTGACAGATATCCTAAATACTCTAACTTGAATATTACAGTCTATGAATGTAACAAAATACCACATGTACCCCATAAAGATGTACAAAGCTTATATACCAATATAAATGAATACATTAAATACATTTAAAAGAACATTAACAGAATTAGAAGTTCAATAAAAAGATAAAACCCATAACAAATGGAAAATTCTTAAACGAAGAACACAATGACTGAAGTGAGAAATTCAATAGAGAGTTTCAATAGCAGACTTAAGCAAAAGAGTCAGTCATCTCAAAGCAAGGTATTTGAAATTATCTTGCCAGGGGAAGAAAAACTTTAAAAACAAACAAAAAAGAATAAAAAAGAGAAAAGAATGATTATGAACCTATGAGACACTGCCAAGCCTACCAACATATACATTATGGGAATATCAGAAAGAGTGGAGAAAGACAAAGGGAAGGCAGTTTATTTTAAAATGTAATACATGACAACCTCCCAAACTGGGAAAGAAAAATGACCATACAGATCCATAAAGGCTGAAGAATCCCACAATGATTAAATATAAATAGATTTCCACTGAGAAACATTAGAAACAAATTACAGAAATTCAAATGCAAAAAGATAATTTTGAAACCCTCTGAGAAAAGCAGCTTGTCACTTACATGAAACACCCCCTCCCTCCTTAACACTATCAGCAGAATTCTCAGAAGAAATCTTGCATGATAGGACAGTGGGAAGATACTCAAAATGCCAAAACAAAACAACAAAAAAACCCTCAAAAAACTGTCAACCAATAATACTGTTCCTAGCAAGGCTGTCTCTTCACATGTCTAGTAATTAAGTAATTTTTTATAGTATGCCACACATTACATGTGAAATAACTGTAGAGGCCCTTCATGATGATACGTTTAACCAGAGATTGCTTCATTTTTCTGTTGTTATGAAGAGAGAGTGAGGGTTGATCTGAGTGCTCAGTTCAGCCAAGGTTTGCACTGTATTGGTTTGATTTTAGTTTAAAAGATTCAGAGTATTTCTGGTTGATTTCTGTTTCTATGAAATTATTCTCCACAAATTGTTTATTGAAAGTCTTGTGAATATTTATCTCCTTGGCCATGAAAACTGAAGAGATTCATTCCTCATCTTCAGGGGTTTACAGCTCACATCTTTGGCCTCCTACCCCAAAATGTCTTCAAAATTTGGTAAATATCTTGAGCAGAATAGCAGTGTTTTGGGGGTAGACTGCTTCTTTTGGAAGATTTTTTTTTTTCTAAATAAGAAGATGTGGATACTTCTATTCTGTTTTTAAAAATCTATCAGTCTTCTCTCCCCAGCCTTGATGTAGCCCTGGCATTCAGTAAACATTTTGTGGAGAAAACTAGCCATGGATTTAAAGCCTCTTGAGTTTTCAGCATGGTTCCTATCCCTGTGTAGAGCTACTAAAAACTTTTCTAGTTACTCTTTTTCATAGTAGAGTCTCTCTCTCTTTGGCTCAATACTTAGCAGATGCCCCAAACTGTCAAATGCTCTGAAGAAAAAAAATAAATGTTAGTCATAATCACTTTATTTCAAGATAGTTCTCTCCATTCTGGAATTTTAGTGCATTTAGTTTTTGTGATTCATGATGCATGTGAGGTCTTATGAATTATTATTTCTCCACTTTGATTGGGATTACGCTTAGAAAGTTCTTCTCAATGCTAAGATTTAAAAAGTAAGGCACCTGTATTTACTCCTGGAACTTTTATGTTTAAATCTCATATTTATATACAAAATTGTAATAATAATCCAGATTTCTCTCCTCACTCAAATGGCTAATTATCCCAACATAATGTCTTAAGAATGTTTTTACTCACTGATTTAAAATACCTTTATTTTTACCATGTATTAAATTCAGATGTGTACTCACATGTTATTAAGGAACCTATTGTTTTTATTTCTCTTTTTTTTCAGGATCTTAAAATATATATTTTAATTATCAATTTGTGATATATTTTAGTATCCAGAAATATTAATTTTCTCTTTTTGGCCTAGTTATTAAAATAAATTAGGACTTTTGGATGGTATTTTTTATGGTTTGGCTCTGTGTTCCCAAACAAATCTAATCTCAAATTGTAATCCCCATGTGTCAGGTGGAAAACCTGGTGAGAGTGATGGGACCGTGGAGGTGGTTTCCCCCATGCTGTTCTCAGGACAGTAAGGGAGTTCTCATGAGATTTGATGGCTTAAAAGTGTCAGTTTCCCCTGCACTCTCTCCCCCTCTCTCCTGTTGCCTTGTGAAGAAAGTGCCTGCTTCCCTTTCACCTTCCACCATGATTGTAAGTTTCCTGAGTCCTCCCCACACATGAGGAACTATAAGTCAATTAAACCTCTTTCCTTCATAAATTACCCAGTCTCACACAGTTCTGTATAGCAGTGTGAGAACAGACTAATGCATTATTACATTTAGATTCAGAATGATATATTCATAAAAAGATAACAAGAAGAATGAAGAGACACAATATTCCAAGTGTAATTGGCTAATTATTTTTTTTTAGGTGTCGATTAAGGAAACATTAGTAAAGCAATACAGGTGTAAAAATGCATGGACTTTATTACGAGATAAGATTAAAAAGGTATGCTGAGATTAGGAGTGAGTAACATATTTGGCTCTCTGTCCGTAAACTCACTCTTGGTTACACTGGCAAATTACCCCAAATTGTAGCATCCTAACACAATAAAAGTTGAATCCTTATTCAGGAAAAGTTCACTGTGGTTCCTATGGCCTTTCCTGGGGTTCTCTATCATTAGTGAATTTAACAATCCAAATTCTTTCCATTATCTGATTTCACTCTCTTAGCATCCTTCAACTGCTCAGATATGGTGAAGGAGCAAGAACATGGGGGAGTTGATGAGGTATTTTAGGAGCAAGTGTTGATGAAGCATAAACCTCTGATTCTTAATGATTTACTAAAAATAATAGAAGGAAATTAAAGATACATACAATATAAATCCACTTTTATATTTTTTATATTTTATATTTAATAGATACAAAATTACTTTATTAAATTGTGATAAAAGTTTTTAAATTGCTACTCTCAATTGTTTTTTAACTTTCAGTTTCAGGGGTACATGTGCAGGTTGATTCTATAGATAATTTGCAAAATATGGGGGTTTAGTGTACATATTATTTCATCACCCAGTTAACAACCATGATACTCAACAAGGAGCTTTTCAGTCCAACCCTCCACCTTGAAATAGGCCTGGGTGTCTATTGATTCCTTCTTTGTGTCTGTGTGTACTGAGTGTTTTGCTCCAACTTATAAGTAAGAACATGTGGGGTTTGGTTTTCTGTTTCTGCATTAGTTTGCTTAGAAGGATGGCCTCCACCTCCATCTATGTGGCTGCAAAAGACGTGATTTTCTTCATTATTATTACCGCATAGTATTCCATGGTGTATATGTAAACATTTTTCTTTACTCAGTCCACCACTGATGGGCATTTAGGTTTATTCCATTTCTTTGCTATTGTGAATAGTGCTGCGATGAACATATGTACACATGTGTCTTCATAGGAGAACAATTTATATTCCTTTGAGTATATACTTAATAATGGGATTGCTGGGTCAAATGGTAGTTCTGTTTTATGTTTTTTGAGAAATTGCCAAACTCCTTTTCACAGTGGCTGAATTAATTTACATTTCTATCAGCAGTGTGTAAGTGTTCTCTTTTATCTGCAGCCTTGCCAGTACTTGTTATTTATTGACATTTTAATAATAGCCATTCTGACTGGTGTGAAATGTTATCACCTTGTGGTTTTGACTTGCATTTCTCTAATGATTAATGATGTTGAACATTTTTTCATATGCTTATTGGCCACATATATGTCTTCTTTTGAAAAGTGTCTGTTCATGTCCTTTGTTCACTTTTTAATGGACTTGTTTGGTTTTTGCTTGTTAATTCATTTAAGTTTCTTACAGATTCTGTATAGGTGACCTTTATTAAATTCATGGTTTGCAAAAATTTTTTTCCCATTTTGTGGGTTATCTGTTTATATTGTTGATAGCTTCTTTTGCTATACAGAAGCTCCTTAGTTTAATTTGGTTTCATTTGTCTATTTTTGTTTTTGTTTCAATTGCTTTTGGCATCCTCATTATAAAATCTTTGCCAGGGCCTAGGTCTTGAATGGTATTTCCTAGGTTTTCTTGAAGGGTTTTTTATAATTCTATGTTTCACATTTAAGTCTTTAATCCATCTTGACTTGATTTTTGTATATGTTAGAATAAGGAGGATCCAGCTTCAATCTTCTGCACGTGGCTATCCAGTTATCTCAGTGCAATTTACTGAATATAAAGTCCTTTCTCCATTGCTTGTTTTGGTCAGCTTTGTCAAAGAATAGATGGCTGTAGGTGTGCTGTCTATTCTGTTCCATTAGTCTCGGTTTTTGTACCAGTGCCATGCTGTTTTGGTTACTGTAGACTTGTAGTATAGTTTGAAATTGGATAATATGATGCCTCCAGCTTTGTTATTTTGTTTAGAATTGCATTAACTATCCATGCTCTTTTTTGGTGCCATATAGTTTTCAAAATAGTTTTTCTAATTCTGTGAAAAATGTCATTGGTAGTTTGACAGGAATAGTGTCAAATCTATAAATTGCTTTGGGCAATGTGGCCTTTTAAACGATATTTATTCTGCCTATGCATGAGCATGGAAAGTTTTTTTCATTTGTTTGTGTCATCTCTGATTTCTTTCAGCAGTGTTTTATAATTCTCATTGTAGAGCTCTTCTACTTTCCTAATGAGCTGTATTCACAGGTATTTTATCTTTTTGTGGCTATTTTCAAAAGGACTGCATTCTTTATTTGTCAATCAGCTTGGGCATTATTTGTGTACATAAATGCTATTGATTTTTGTACATTGATTTTGTATCCTGAAACTTTTCTGAAGTTTCATACAAAAAAAGATAATTTGAATTCCTTTTTTACTTTGTGGATGTCTTTTATTTCTTTCTCTTGCCTGATGGCTCTGGCTAAGACGTCCAACACTATGTTGAATACGAGTGGTGAGAGTAGGCATGCTTGTCTTATTTCAGGTCTCAAAGGGGAATGCTTCCAGCTTTTGCACATGCAATATGATGTTGGTTGTGGGTTTATCATAAATGGCTCTTATTATTTTGAAGTATGTTCCTTAAATACCTAGTTTGTTGAGGTTTTTAACATGAAGGAATATTGAATTTTATTGAAAGCCTTTTCCTCATCAGTTGAGATGTTCGTGTGGTTTTTGGTTTTAGTTGTTTATGTGATTAATCACATTTCTTAATTTACATATATTGAACCAGTCTTGCAGGCCAGGGGTTACACCTACTTATTTGTGGTGGATGAGCTTTTTTTTGTTTTTTTTAATACTTTAAGTTCTGGGATACATGTGCAGAATGTGCAGGTTTGTGACATAGGTATATACATGCCATGGTGGTTTGCTGCACCCATCAACCCGTCATCTACATTAGATATTTCTCTAATGTTATTCCTCCCTTAGCCCCCTCCCCCTGACGGGCCCCAGTGTGTGATGTTCCCCTCCCTGTGCCCACATGTTCTCACTGTTCAACTCCCACTTATGAGTGAGACCATGTGGTGTTTGGTTTTCTGTTCCTGTATTAGTTTACTGAGAATGATGGTTTCCAGCTTCATCCATGTCCCTGCAAAGGACACGAACTCGTCTTTTTTTTATGGATGCACAGTATTCCGTGGTGTATATGTGCCACGTTTTCTTTATCCAGTCTATCATTGATGGGCATTTGGGTTGGTTCCAAGTCTTTGCTATTGTTAATAGTGCTGCAATAAACATACGTGTGCATGTGTCTTTATAGTAGAATGATTTATAATCCTTTGAGTATATACCCAGTAATGGGATTGCTGGGTCAAATGGTATTTCTGGTTCTAGATCCTTGAGGAATCACCACACTTTCTTCCACAGTGGTTGATATGCTGCTGAATATGGTTTGCTATTATTTTGTTGAGAATTTTTGCATCTATGTTCATCAAAGGTGTTGGCCTGACATTTTCTTTTTTTGTTGTGTCATTGCCAGCTGTGGGCATCAGGATGATGCTGGGCTCATAAAATGACTTAGGGAGGAATCTCTCCGCTTCAATATTTTGCTATAGTTTCAGTAGAAATGTTACCAGTTGTTCTTTATATGTTTTGCAGAATTCAGCTGTAAATTCATCCAGATCTGGGCCATTTCTGGTCAGTAGGCTTTTGGTACTGATTCAGTTTCAGAACTTGTTATTGGTCTGTTTAGGGATTCGATTTCTTTCTGGTTCAGTCTTGGGAGGCTGTTTGTTTATGAGAATGTATCCATTTCTTCTAAGTTTTCTAGTTTTTGTGCAGAGAGGTACTCATAATGTCTCTCTCTCTTTTTTTTTTTTTTGTATTTCTGTGGTATCTGTGGTGATGTCTCCTTTGTGATTTCTGATTATGTTTATTTGGATCTCTCTCTTTTTTTTTTTTTTTTTTAGTCTAGCTAGTGGTCCATCTATCTTATTAATTCCTTCAAAGAACAAACCTCTGATTTCATTGATCTTTTGTATTTTTTTCACATCTGAATTTCATTCAGTTCAGATCTGATTTGGGTTATGTTTTCTGCTAGCTTTGAGGTTGGTTTGCTATTTTTTGTTTCTAGCTACTCAAGATTTGATGTTAGGTTGTTAATTTGAGATCTTTCTTCTTTTTATTTTCTGAGACAGACTCTCACTCTGTCACCCAGGCTGGAGTGCAATGGCATGATCTCAGCTTACTACAACCTCTGTCTCTCAGGTTCAAGTGATTCTTGTGACTTAGCCTTCCAAGGAGCTGGGTTTACAGGCACATGCCACCATGCCGAGGTAATTTTTGTATTTGTAGTTGAGATGAAGTTTCACAATGTTGCTGAGGCTGGTCTTGAACTCCTGACCTCAGATGATCTACCTGCCTCAGCCTCCCAAAGTGCTAGAATTTGATATGGGTGTTTAGCCTATGAAATTTTCTCTTAACACTGCGTTAGCCATGTCCCAAACATTCTGTATGCTTTATTTTTATTTTTATTAGTTTCAAAGAATTTCCTGATATTCTAGCTTAATTTCATTGTTTACCCAGAAATCATTCAGGAGCAGGTTGTTTAATTTTTATGTAATTGTATGGTTTTGAACAATCTTCTTACTATTTCTGTTTTTATTGTGTTGTGGTCTAAGCATGGGGTTAGCATGATTTCATTCCTTTTTCTAATGTACTAAGAATTGTTTTATGGCTGATTGGTTGATTTTAAAGTACGTGCCATGTGAAGATTAGAAAAATGTGTATTCTGTTGCTGTTGGATGGAAAGTTCTGTAGATATATATTAGGTCTATTTGGTTAAATATTGAGTTCTGGTCCCTGTTAGTTTTCTTCCTCGATAATCTGTCTACAAGTGTCAGTGTGGTGTTAAAATCTCCCACTATTATTACATGCTTATCTAAGTCTCTTTTCAGATGTCTAAGAACTTGTTTTATGAACCTGATTGATCCTGTGTTGAGTGTGTATATTTTTAGAATAGTTAAGTCTTCTTGTTGAATTAAACCCTTTACCACTATATAATGACCATTTTTGTCCTTTTTTATCATTGTTGGTTTAAATCCTGTTTTGTCTGAAATTAGAATAGCAATCCCTGCACTATTTTTGTTTTCCATTTGATAGGTAGATTTTCTCCATCACTTTACTTTGAGCCTGTGGGTGTCACTGCATGTGAGATGGGTCTCTTGAAGACAGCATACCACTGGGTCTTGCTTCTTTATACAGCTTGCCACTCTATGCCTTTTTACTGAGGCATTTCACCCATTTACATTAAATGTTAATATTGTTATATGCAGATTTGATCGTGTCATGTTGTTAGCTCATTATTATGCAGATTTGATTGTGTAGTTGCTTTATGGTGTCGATTGCCTATGTACTGAATTCTGTTTTTGTGGTGGCTAGTAATGGCCTTTTGTTTCCGTATTTAGCACTCCCTTAAGGACATTTCCTAAGGCAAGTCTGGTGGTAACAAATTTTCTTAGCATTTGCTTGTCTGAAAAAAAATTCTTTCCTTATAAAGCTTAGTTTGGCTGGATACGAAATTCTTGTTTAGAATTTCTTTTCTCTAAGAATGTTGTATATAGGCCTTCAAATCTTTTCTGGCTTGTAGGGTTTCTGCTGAAACATCAGCTGTTACCCTGATGAAGTTCTCTTTTTAGATGATCTGACTCTTCTTTCTAGCTGCCTTTAAGATTTTTTTCTTTCATGCCAACCTTGGAGAATCTGATGACTGTGTATCTTGGGGATGGTTATCTTGTATAGTATCTTGTAGGAGCTCTCTACATTTCCTGGATTTTGAAAGTCAACCTCTCTATCAAGGTTGGAGACATTTTCATGGATGATATCCTCAACTATATTTTCCAAGTTGGTTGTTTTCTCTCCCTTTCTTTTAGGGATGCCAATGAGTCTTAGATTCAGTCTCTTTACATGGTCTCATATTTCTTTGAGAATTTGTTCATTGTAAAAAATTATTTTCATCTAACTTTATTTAGTTTGGAGAACCAGCCTTTGAGCTCTGAGATTCTTTCCTCAGCTTGGTCAATTCTGCTGTTAATACTTGCAAGTATATTATGAAATACTTATAGTGTGTTTTTCAGCTTTATTAGATCAGTTTGGTTCTTCCTTAGAATGGCCATTTCATTCTTTAGCTCCTTTATCATTGTATTGTACTCCTTAGATTACTTGGATTGGGTTTTGACCTGTTTCTGAATCTCAATCATATTTATCCCTATCCATATTCTAAATTCTATGTCTGTCATTCCAACCATTTCAGCCTGGTTAAGAACCATTGCTGGGGAACTAGTGTAGTTATGTGGAAGAATGAAAACATTGTGGATTTTTGAATTGCCAGAGTTCTTGTGCTGGTTCTTTCTTATCTCTGTGAGCTGATGGTCCTTTAACTGTGGTTTAATTTGAGCATAGTCAGTTGAACTTCATTTCTGGATATTTTCAGAGAGCAGAGGCTTTGCGCTAGGCCTTTATTTGGAGCTGAATTCTTGTCCTTGGTTTCATGGAATGGGTATATTAGCAAAGGTTTTTGGTTTCCTGGGGTGGGTATATTAGCAAAGGTTTTTGGTATTGAAGTTTGGGCTGCAATCTACTGG
This sequence comes from Homo sapiens, assembly GCF_000001405.40. Classification (NCBI taxonomy): domain Eukaryota; kingdom Metazoa; phylum Chordata; class Mammalia; order Primates; family Hominidae; genus Homo; species Homo sapiens. The sequence goes on from NC_000002.12 coordinate 21,878,176, forward strand.
ATGACATTTAGGTGTAAGGGCCAGTAGGTGGGCTCCTGCTCAGCCATGTGGCTTCTCTATATTTTCTCATGTTTGTAGCCATGCTTTCTCTCCCAGTGCCCTGAGGGCATGGGATTCTCTTCCACTTGAATTCTGGCTCCGGATCTTGGCTTGACATTCCCGGCCTGCATACTGCAGTGGTGAGGTGAGCTGAGGCTTTATCTTTCCTCCTCAGCTTGGAGGCAGGAGGGGCAGTGACCTTGGCAGTGGCAATAGCAGAGGACCCTTTATGTGTCTCCTGTGGCTCCTCCCCAGAGAAAAGCATAGCTGATAACAATTGGAGCAATCAGCCGAGTGTGGGATCACTGCATTGTGGGCGCAAGCTGGAGGGTCCTGCCTAGTGACACCTACTCTCAATTTCCACACTTACTTCATTTTGGACCAGCAAGAAAGATGGAAAGATAGTATTACACAGACCACACTTTGAGTAGTACTGGCATATATTCTTTGACATATTTCCCATTGTCCAAAACACAATAACATCATCTTAAACTAAGTGCAAGAGAGGCTGGTTGTCTGAGTTCATTTGTGTTGTTATAAAGAAATATCTCAGACTAGGTAATTTATAAAGAAATGATGTTTATTTGGCTTAAGGTTCTACAGGCTATACAAGCATGGTGCCATCATCTTCTTCTGGTGAAGGCTTCAGGCTACTTGTACTCATGATGGTAGGGAAAGGGGAGGCAGCATGTTCATAGATCACATGAAGAGAGAGACAAAAAGAGTTGAGGGGGGCAGGTTCTAGGTTCTTTGAAACAAACTGCTCTCACAGGAACTAATAAAGGGATCACTCACTCATTATAGCAAGAAAGCCACCAAGCCATTTATGATGGATCAGCCCCCATGAACCAAACACCCCTCATTAGGCCCCACCTCCAACACTGGAGATCAAATTTTAATATGAAATTTGGAGAGGTGAAATATCCAAACCATGGACTGGGAAACGCTTATTTTTGTGCCCACAAAAAAGAAATAGATTACTATGCATGTAGTCCATCTCTACTATACAGCTGCAATAAACTTAAATTTATTACACACGTTACAGTCTTTTTTAACAAACTCTTACCTGAATAATACAATCTAAATATATTTGCATGACTAATTTAGACATGATTTGACATGTTTCTATAACTCTTTTAATTTTTCTAAGCACTTAGTGTCCTATACTACAAATACTTTTTATATATCTCATTTTTCCACTAAATTACCAATAGCCAGGACCCTTCCAACTAATAGTGCAGTGTTGTTTGGCACATAGAAAACTTTCAGTAGATGTGTGTAACCTGAATTATTTATCATTGAGCATGATAGTATTGACAGTGTTATTTGATATTTTAGACAGTTCCTTCTACCGTCAGGTTGAAGGAAGAATTGATAAGAAAGTTGGCAAGACTAAAAGTAAAGAATGTCACTTGGGAAATAAATTTTAGTAATACTAATTAAATATATTAGAGTCTTAATTAAAAGAGTGTGGGGATAAAAGTGTGGAGTTAGTTTCAACAAAGTTTCCAGAGTTTTATTAAATAAGGACTCTTTCACTGATTGGTAATGTAGAATGAAGAATGGCTCTGAGATTTCTAGTTTTTAGGACTGATTTCATTTGATCTTATTGACATAGAGGAACATAGGAGGATGAATGGGTTTGAGTGGAAAAGTAGAATAATGTTCTCAGTTTGTGACATGCTGAGCTTGAAGCACCTGCAGAATAATGTACTGTAGCTTTTGTGATCTTCACATTGTGAAGTCTGTCTGGTCCTTTGTAAACAAAAGAGAAGGACTATTATAATCACGAGTTATAATACATTCCCTCCACTTCTGTTTGAAAAGCCTCCTCAATTTTTAAAATACATAGTTATAAAAGAGAAATTCTAAACTCTATAGTTGAGCTGTAGAACATTGTCCCTTTGAAGGGTAGAGATAAGCAGACCAGGGGTTAGAAGAAGCATGATACGGATCATTCTGGCTGCCTTTCCACCCACACCTCCAGTCCTCTAAGACTAGATGAGGGACCTTTGCCTCCCAATCCCTTTGTTCTGATTTCTCATGACTCTCATGCCCACTTCTGACTAAGTCCACTTCCCATATTTCCTACATTCCCACAAATTCCCCTCCTGAATTGAAAGTTTCCACTCTCTCCTCTGAATTCTGAAAGCTCTTTGTTAACACCTTCATCACTGCATGCACATTATTTTTCTTTGTATTCTTGTTATTTATGTGCTTATCAATCCCACTAGTGGGTTATCAAGGGTTTTTTTTTTGTTTGTTTATTGTCATATTAAAGGACAAAACCACTGTTTTATTTAACTATGTATACCCAGAAATATCTATAAAAATGTGTAAAAAATGTTGCACATCAATGATTGTATTCTGAATTCACTTAAATTATTCAGGAATTTATTGTCGATGCCCCAAAGGAGAAGATTTGAGGTGAGAATATAAGAGCACCAATCAGAAAATAAATGATAGGCATTGGAAGAAAGGTAGCGAATTGCATTTTCTTACTATTGTATTTTCACTTGAGGGTACTTGTCATGGATTAAACAATCTCTCTTTGCCTCTTATACATTTCTCCTTGTGGCAGGAGAAGTATGTTATCTAGTTGATAAGTTTTGAAAAAAAAAAAAAGAAATGAGTCTGGTTCACTCTCAACTCTCCCATTTTGTTTTATTTTGATTTGTTTCCAGTCTCTTGCTTTCAGATCTGTTTGGCTGGAGAGAAAGTGAATTCTAGTTTACTCTTCTTTCATGAGGTAGTTTATCAAGTAAAGTTCTTCCTTTACCAGGGATGCCTGACATATACCATGTTAAGCATGGGGAAAGTAAAGTGGTTTGATTCAGTGAGAGATCTGTGAGCCCATTTAGCCACTGGGCAAAAACTACATTCTCTGGTCAGCTTCATGAGAAATGGAGCTGGTATTTTAATAGCCATATGCTATGTTTTATTTTTCATTGATTCCCAATTCAGAAGTGCAAGTATTGTGGGAAGAATTTTAAGATGACCTCTAAGAATTCCTATTTACTCCCCTGGTATTCATGCCTGGGACTTTGAATATGATGGGCTTTACCTTCCATGATTAGATTATGTTACAATATTCAGTTTACCTTAGATAGGAAGATTATCCATGTGGGCATGATTTAATCACACGAACCATTTGAAAGCATAAAGTATTTTTTTCTAACTGGTAGTAGAACAGGTAATCCGAGATTTAAAGCAGAAGGATTAAATGTTCCCTCACTGGCTTAAAGATGAAGGTGATCATGTGTCAAGCAATATAGATGGCGTCTAGGAATTGACAGCAGCCCTCAGTGGGCAACCAACAAGAAAACTGGGACCTCAGTTCCACAACCATAAGAAGCTGAGGTATGCCAATAAATATTGGGCTCAGAAGATGATTTTCCCCAAAATCTTCCATGTAAGAACTCAGACAATCTCATACCTTGATTTCAACTTTGTGATACTTTAAGCAGAGAACTCGGTCATTCATGCTAGGCTTCTGATTTACAGAACTGTGAGCTAATAAATGAGTGTTACACATGTATAGTTTTTAAACATTTAAACAATTTACAAAAATAAGATTCTGGGACAATAGAGACCATAACTTAATTTTTGAATCTCTTTAAATTCCCCCATAAAGATGAAGAAGTAGGGCAGTAAAACCAAAACCTCATGAACACAATTTACGACAAACTAGGTAACAAGATAACTCCCTGTGAACCAGAAATATATGTTTTGCAAGAACAAAATCATAGCTTTCAGCATCTGGGAACAAGGAAGGAGAAAGATGGCAACTGGGCTTGCAATGGCCCTCTTCAACAGCTGCACATTGGATAGTGTGGCAGGTCAATCTGAAAACAGAAGCCAAAATGAGCAGGGGATTCTGCAGAATCCAGGATCCAGTTGTGTAGCAGTGAGGTGACCAGGATTACATATGGCCTGCCAGTGCTGGAGCATACTAGAGTGCTTTTACCCTTTTACTTTTTTTTTTTTTTAATCCACTGCAGTACATATTGAAAAGCACTTTTGATCTAGAACTTAAAGTTCCCTAGATCTGAAAATTTTTCTTGATTTATTTCCTTAATAGTTTCCCCTCCATTTTTTCTGTTTGTTCTTTCTCTATTGACTCTCTACTTTTTGTCTATCTTCTTAATTACTTGACACTTTGTCTTTTTATTATATTTTTAGCATTATCCTTTAAAATTACTATTGTTTAAATTTCTGTTTATATATTTTTGATTTCCAACAATATTTAACTTTTCATGAATGCTAAACCTCCTCATATGCATGCCGTCTTTTCCTCTTACTCCCCCAGGTTATTATACATAGTTGTTTGCTGGTTGCTGTCATCATTTTATATTGTATTTTTTTGATCTCTTAATATTTTCAATTTTCTCTGAGTTCCTTTTTTTTGTCTTTTACTTTAGAAATTTTGGGGATTTAGAAAGACAATATAGATCTTTTTTTCATTTTCTAGAAATTTAGAAATAATTGAGAAATAAGATACATGGGGCAGATAAATGGAGATCAAAGTGATAGTTATAATGCTGATAAAACCAACCAGAAACTATTTTTATCTCCAGCCAAGAAGATTCACTAATATTGTCTGCTCCCTCTACAGTCCACAGTTTTGGGTCTACAAGTGGCTATGCTTCCCCAGGATTGCTGGTTTGTCCAAGTACAGATTGATGGTGGAAAAGAGGAATTTATCAGTAACTGATGATTACTTATATATTACAAACTCTCAAACTGTAAATGAGGATCAATGGATATCACTCTGCAATTACTCCGATTATCATGAAGTGTTAAAAAAAAAAAAAGATATGAGGAGCTACGTTTCTTGCTTTTTGGATACCTTACTACAGGAAAATATTAGGCCAGATGATAGGAAGTCCCTAGATAATTCCTTCCATATATATATATATATATATATATATATATATATAAAATTTTTATTTTTTTGAAATGGTTTCTCACTCTGTCACCCAGGCTGGAGTGCAGTCAGTCAGTGGCGTGATCTCAGCTCACTGCAACCTCCACCTCCCGGGTTCAAGCGATTTGCCTGCCTCAGCCTCCCTAGTAGCTGGGATTATAGGTGCGCAATACCAAACCTGGCTAATTTTTGTATTTTAGTAGAGACGGGGTTTCACAATGTTGGCCAGGCTGGTCTGGAACTCCTGACCTCAAGTGATCCACTCGCCTTGGCCTCCCAAAATGTTGGGATTAGAGGCATGAGCCGCCACTCGGCCAAAAGTTTTTTCAAATACTTCATGATTTTGCTTTCCATTCTTATTTATGTGTAAATCACTAAGATGTTGATTGAACCTCACAGTATAAGGGTGAAGTTTGGATACTACAAACCACACCAGAGTGATATGGCAGGTCAAATTTAGGGGAAATTCTAAGTCTTGTATACTATTTTAGCTCAACCTGCTACGACAACAATAAACCCTTCACCACTTTCAAACAGTTTGGCTACTTAATGTCATTAATGCTTCATGACTTTTATAACTATTTGGCACCTTAACTATTAGTTTTTCTGGGGTTCTTTCATATAAATCAGCCTGCCTCTGGTTCACATTTGAGGTATCTCCCATCTGGGTGTCATTTATTCCTATGTATCTGCTTTCCAATTTATAAAACCATGTTGCTCCTTCTTTGTCATTATCTTTGTGGGTTGTTGAACATCCATTTACTGTCACTGTATTGGCATTCCAGGACAGAGGTAAGGTAAATGCATTTGTTCGACCTACCAAGTTTAACCACAAGTTTGACCTCAACATTTAGGGTGCAGAGACTCAAGATATTTGTCTCCAAGCATAGAGAGATGGCAGCTGTCTCTCAGAGCGAATTCCTGCACATAATACACTTACATGAAGCATACTTGTTGTGTATGTCCATTGTTTGCTGCTTACCAAAACGATTGTCCCTCTAGAAGTAGCCTAATAGATTTCAGAAAATACTGCCCTGAAGGAAAAAGTTTGGAACAGCACGTGGTTACCTTTGAGAATGTAATTGGTGGAGGGATATTAGTGGTGACAGGAAACTTGCTCTTTCTTGTGTATATGTTTATGTTTATTGCATATCTTTATGATTAAAACTGCATATATATGGTTAAAATTAAAAAGATAAATTTAACAATATTTTTCCCACTAAAAGGTAGGAGAAAGTAAAGTAGAAATGACAGAAAGAAACAAGGACTCCTCGTTAATACAGAGCTACACTCAAGTAACTGAACAGCCATTTCATCCATAGTGATGATGATGATGATGGCAATGATGACAATGATGACAGCAGCAATGAAGATGACTATTGCTTTCAGTTTTACTTTGGATTTGAATAGCATTTGGGTTTTGCTGCTGACTGCCCGAAAATCTCACCTTTTCTCTCAGTTCTAACTAAGCTTTGGTCATGCTTCTTTGCTAAATACCAATGAAATTCAAAGATCTTTGCAACTTTAAGATGTAACAAAATTCAGTGCAAAGCCTGGCTTATATAACTTTGAATTCAGACCTTGACAACCAGACAGGATTTATCTCATGCATATGTATTAATTTTAAGTGCTTTTCTGTAACAGTCATTTGACATTTAATATACCATAATTGTATTATTAAATTTAAATGCATATTTGCAATTCTAAAAGCACTACTGAACTTTATGGGTGAAAAATACATTCTCCTTCACCTTGGTCCCTTACCAACTGCCAGTTCTTCTCTAGGTTGCATTCTGTCTGCTACCCTTACCCCGATGGCATTCCCTCTTCTTTCCTCAACCTCAAATTCTCAACTTAGTTTCTCTTTCAATTTTTTAATGTGTTCCCCTCTCCTCTCTCTGTGATTCATGGTCATTCACTCTCAACTTCATCTTTCTTCTTCTGGCATGGAAATGTCCTTTGCTTCTGTTTTCTCCAATAGTCTCTCATGCAGTCAAATCCCTCACTCCCCTGTGGAGCAGTTTCAGGATGCTGCAGTGACTTTGACTCATCATCCATGAGCTTTAACCATAGTCCAGGGGAGCATTTTCCAAACATTAAAATGACCTGTCATTGAAAACGGCTTTCTTAAGTGGTAATGAGCTCCCAATCGTAGTCCCTTCAGGAAGGGACTAAAAGGGATGCTGAGACTGGGAAGTCGGTAAAACATGACCTGAGATACCTTTGAGCATCTTTCTTCTTCAGGACATAGCATCTCTCTTCTTAATCCCTTTGCTGTAACAGCTAATTTTAAAAGTGCTGCCAGAGCTCTAGCTCTTCACTAATAACTCTTTATTTATACCACTTATAATTTCCAGTGTGAAATAAGTCTTAGACATCATTAATTCAACACCAGCATTTTTAATAGAAAGAAAACAGAGGCCCAGAGAAGTTAAGTCTTGGCTCAATATCTGGTGGAACAGTGGTGCAGTTGACACCAGGAGCCTGGTCTATGATTCACACTCGAATTCCTTCCTGTCACTGCATCTCCTTTCCCATTTCCCTCATCTTTGGCCACACAAGTCTGGGGTGAGCACCCTAATTATGACCTTTTATTTTATGGCTCTGTTGTTTCTATACACTAGCATCTGCTCTTTGCACTGTCAGGTGCAATGTTCCCAACTTTCCCTTAGATACTTAGGTCTCAGTTATCCTTTAACATGAAACTCAAGAATTATCATTTCAGAAAACCTTTCTTGATCCTCCTCCAGGACTTCTCTCCCTCTGTTTGTCTTAGGTGTCATGCTCCTCCTATTAGCACCCTGAATTTAGTTCTCTTTGTGCTTAATCCCATATTATGGAATGTCCTGTATATTAACTATCACTCCTACCAGAATATAAGCCACTGGAGATCAAGGCCTGTGTATCATTCAAATTTCGATTTCCACAACCTGGCACAGTGCCTGCCATAGACAAATTTCAAAATGTTTGTTGATTTCAGAAATTAATGTTACTTATCTCACCACTTCTCATAAACCCTTTTTAACACTGCTAAGCTTTATCAGTAAAAATATATTGTCATTCTTGGTTCCTTACAATCTGCCAGTTCTTCTCCAGGCTTTTGTCTGCCTGCCTGTCTTATCCTGATTGGAATCCCATTTTCTTTCCTCACCTTCAGCTCCTCAGCTTTCTTCATTTTCTCATTTTTTAGTGCTCTTTGTTCTTCTCCTTCTATAATTTATGTTCACTTACGCTCAGTTGCTACTTTCTTTTTTGAGAAAAAAGAAAATTTGCATTCTATGTAGAAATGTCCAGTGCTTCTGATGACTGCAATACATACTTTCCTATTAGTCCCGCCACAGACATATCTTCCACTCACCAGGTAGGACAGTTTCCTTCTCAAGAGGGACATTGTCCTGTTATTTTCTGATCCTCAGGGTGGGGAAGAGTTGATTTCAATCAGACCCCAGTTTCTCTGATTTTACTGTTATCTGTCACCTTCATAAAACTATTCTAGGAAGATTCTCAGAGGATCTAACGATATGACCTCGTCCTTATCTCTTTCATGTTCTGCCAAAATTCGTGACCTGGACACCTAATGAAGATGTGGTAAATAGGTACTACTGCTTTTTTCCTTCTTTCTAGAAATTTCCAACGTTTCTGTTCATTGCAAAATAGTTTTTTCCCAATCAACCCCTCACACAGACACATCTTACCCTGTGGGACAGTTTTATGATGTTACAGTGACCGTCTTCTGCTTCTTTGAGTTTTCAATATAGTATGCGGGATTATTTTTCAAAAGTCCTCTGTCATAGAAAAGATGTTATTTTTCCTCCTATTGGTGCCCCTCCTTAGAGGAAAATTATATTTTCCATGTGTCTTGCTTTGGCTAAAAATATGTGAGAAGAGTGATGTGTGTCTCTTCTGAGTAGGTATTTTCCTAGTTTACCATGATCCCTTTTTCTTCTGACATAAGACTAGCAAGAGTCAAGACAGAGATTGGTCCATTAACATGCTCCTAGAAGTGAAGATGACATGGAACAAAACCCCAACTAACCCATTACAAGCATGCAGCATGAGCAAAAAATAACTTGTGTTAACGTAAGCCACTGGTATTGTGGCTATAACCAAGCCTATCCTGACAAATACATGTAGGAAGAATGCAAGAATGCACTTTTAGCTGATGTGACAAATGGAAACAATTGTGCAGTGCATTTCCGTTCAATATGTGTATATTTTTCTGTAGTCAGAGAAAGGCCATGATAATTCACTACAGACAGTGTTTGATCAATTTTCTGCTGTAGCCATCTTGTCTGATGGTTTGGGCATTATCAGGGGAGGGCCTAGAGGCCTAGTGGGACTCTTGTCTGTGGCGTGCTACACTAAGTCTCAAGAAAGAAAGACTACTGTGGAATGATAGCTGAATTGAGGGAAGAAATTAAGAGTTTCAATATCAAACCAAACCAATAATGATTGAGCCTAAGGGACTGGATAATAGTCTTAAAAATCTAATAAGCATAGTCTAATTTCTCCAGTTTAGTTTTCCTATAACACATATTCAAATGTCAAATACATTCTGCTAGGATAAGTAAAAGAGGCTTGATATCATATGCCATATTTTTCCAGCAGGTCATCTGGATGGAAAAATGTACAAAATGTATCGAGCTTTAATGAAGCTTAGAAAAGTTCATGGATGACACACCAATAAACAGTGACTAGAGAAAGACAGACCAACTTTGAGCTTCAGAGATCCAGAACAGGAAAAAAAGGTCACCTTGTGCACCCCTTCTAAGATGGCACACCCTCCACTAGGTGGACACGAAATGGAAGCTAGGGTGGCATTTATACTCTTCTTAAAATAGCAAAAGAATTTGTCATTCAACTGGTAGCAGATTTTCTTTTTGCCTTTACACTTGCTACGTGAAAGCTGCCTTTATATGAGTGTCACCAGCTTGTCATTTTATAAATCACTGCTGCCTTGCCAAATAGATATGTGCATCGGTAAGACTGTCCTTTTTTGCATAAGTCTCATAAATCAACATCACTGAACAATTCTCAGCATAGGTAGTCTTTTAAATTTAAAATTGGGATACATAAAAAAGACTGTGATGTGGAAAAAAATCTCTTAAGAAATTATGTGTGTTTGTTTGCGAGAGTGAAAAAAAAGAGAGATTGAGCCAGAGAGAAAGTTTCCCTCATTCAGATGCTCTGAGTTATGAGCCAGAAGGCGCAGCAATGCTTGAAGGAGAAGAACAAAGGTGGAGTTTTACTTTGTAGGGTGGTAAAGGTTTGCATTTTATGACCCCTGGAAAGGGTCCTCTTTGAAGTCACCTCAAGTATCACTGGACTCACTAGCCTTCCCTAAAATACATGTTTACAAGAAAAAGAACGTGATGAATGTGATGTCCAAAGAAGGTGACAAATGGATTAATTTCAACTAAAAACAGTGATAACTTCAGCTTATTAAGTGCTTACTCTGGGTTGCATACTTCCTAAACACCTTTCTACAAGAACACATTCAATCCTCACCAGAAATATCCAAGATGGGCACTATTGTCACTGTCTTTTCATAGAAAAGGAAACTCAGGCATGGAGCTATTATTAAGTAACTTGGATAAGGTGACACAGTTGATAAGTGGCAGAGCTGGGTTTGGACACAGACATTCTGACTCCAGGGTTCATGCTTCTTCAGAAGAAAACTACAATCTACTTATAGATAGGCTCAAGTTGATAAATGAACTCCATGAGTAGGACCCTGTTTTCCTTGATGATCGGTGTAGACATTCTTAGAATATGGTCTCAAATTTGATAATGCCCTTGACCTTGCTTTAAAGTTCTTTCCAAAATAGATTCTATCTTGTGTGAAATCCTGAAGGTGATAGAATGGACCATGACTTTCAATAGTGATTCACGGAGCAACCCAAGTTTAGCATAATAACTGCTGGACAGATCTATGGCTAACTCAAGAATATCCCTGAAAGCCTGAAATCTGGGTAGTGCAAGGGTTCTAAGAACAGATTTGGTGACGAGCCTGTGACCAAAGTGTACTGTCAGCCAATTTGTACATGCATGATCCATGATAAAATTGCTTCTCCTCTCCTTAACTCATTTACTCATCTCTAAAACAAGTAAAATGATACTGGTCTCTTAGAGATTGTTGGTGAGATTACATATTCTTGGCCCTTAGTAAACATCAACAAATGATAGTCATTATTACATTTTGGCTTGAATGGCTGTTGCTGCATCTTCGCTGAGGGGTTCCACATTCCACGATTAGGTTTTCAGAGCTTTGCTAAAAGCCTTGTAGTGACTTGTAGTGACGAGTTGGAGCATCACCCAATCCTACACTTCAGTTATGAGAAGGAAGAGGACTTACCTTGAAGAACCACTTCAAGAAAGAAGAAACACTCTGATTCTTTAGAATATGAACATTTTGAGTCAAACTAGAGATGCATATTTCAGAAAAAAAAATTATTGCGGTCAGGGCAATGTTGTCCATACTAGAATATTTCATACTTTAGTGAAACGGAATGAAGGAGATATATATATATATATCCCCTTCTCCACCAATGTTAGTCTAATTAGCTGTGCCTATTACTGAATAAGGTCTTTTTTTTTTTTTGGTAAGAAACCTCAAATTATTAAAACTAGATTATGTATAAATAATTGACTAGAAACAGATTATTTTACTCTCTAAAAATGCATAAACCAGAGTATATGGTAATTTCACATTCACTGAACCCCTTTCCCTCTTCTTCTTTTCCCTGGGGCCTCACAGGTAGGTATCCCTAGAGGTATGAGGTACCTCCCTATTCATCTTGTGATAATAATATACAACAAAGATTAATTAAGAAGGTCCCTTTCTAGTATTAAAATGAATCTTTCAAGGAGGTCCATTTGAAATGGCTCAGATGTTATGTGCCATGTCATAGCTTTTCACTTAACAGGTCTGAAGGTAATCATGTCTGAGAAAAGATGAAAGGAATCCAACATGTGGGGCCTGAAAAATAATGACAAGTCTAGAGAACAGGCCAGATAAAAGGAGGGTAAAGGGCATTGTCAGCGTGCCACACAGCGGCTTTGGTTCAATCGGCACACACTGGAAAAATGATGAAAAAACGCACAAAGAGCACACTGTGCCTTCATTCCCCACGTGTCTTGATAAACAGTGGGCAGAGAGATGAAGGCCCTGTTCCCCGGATAACTTGCTGTGCAGGAGGAGCACCTCTCCCTCCCTGGCTCACTTTCCTTTCTCTCTCCTCAGCTCTCCGCATTTGTTTTTCACATTCTCCAAAGTATTATACTTTCTTCCTTTTTCATACACCTTTGATATTTCTATTTCATCTCGGCCCTGATACATCCAGGTTTTTAGCTAAAAGTTTCTGTGTGCATGTGTGTGTTTTATTTCATCAAGCAGAATTTAGTCTATGGTTTGTGTATTTCAGAAGCTCTGTGTTTCAGCTTCTCTTCCCCTGGTACACTGAGCTCCTGCCCCAAGCTCAGGCCGCCTGTGCATGACAGGTATGAGGCCAGCATTCTGTGATTCACCTGGAAAACACAAGTCCCCACTTCTTCCTCATTTCTGTGCCTCTCTGGAGGGAACCCTGGCAGCCCTTGCCTCAGTTTCTGGGACAATCCAGGCAGCTCTCCATCACTGGAGAACACCAGATGGAATGGATGGAGGCAATTTTTCAGAAAGTACTTTAAGAGCGGCTTCCTCAGTGGTCTTTCCAGCTGGAAGCAGAGCGTCCAGAAAGCACCGCATTCTCAGCGCTGTTTCATTGCCTCAAGAGCTACAGATGGCTTCCCCAAGCACCTGAAGTCGATGCTGCTTGCCTGGATGGAATAAGCTGCAAGCTGCAGAAACTCTTGTCTTTTCACAGTGGAACTCAGACTCCAGTTTCTTTCTGCCTTGAGAGTGAAAGAAAGGAGAAGACACAGAGTAGGAAAGAGCCAGAAGGTGGAGAAATTAATGTTTAATGCTTGATACTCCCGGGGCCTGGCCAGCTGCTCAAAAAAAGGTACATAAGGGGATATTTATAATATTGCTTCCTGTGGCCACACGTAAGCAAGACTTTGAAAATGGCCCAAGTCTCTTTCTCCGGAAAGATGTGGGTTTACTAGTTGAGTTTGAATTGATTGCATGATTCTTGCATGTTACTAAGTATAGCAGTTTTTCTTATTTTCCTTCTTTCTTTTTTTTTTCTTTTCTTACTTTTTGACTTGACAAACAGTGGGTCGAGGGTCAAGGCCCTGTTCTCCCTGGAGAACTTGCTGTGCGGGAGGATCCCCTCTCCGTCCCTCCCGGGCTCACTTTCACTTCCCTCTCCTCAGCTTCTGTCCATTTGATCCTCACATTTCACTGTTTAGTTCTGCTAATATCAGCCAGTGGTCCACTTGGCTGGGATCAAGGTACTGTCATAAGAAGCCACTGGCATTAGATAGTTTCTGCCATGTTAATGATTCTTCCATTTGCTTTCTATTTTTGCTGACTGTTGGGAGCTGTGACTGCGGGTAACTGGCTGATCTGGCATGGAAAAGGTTTTACAAGAACAAGTTAACCTGTGACAGATGTCAGAAAGGCAGGCAGAACTGATCTTTGGTTTTGCTGAGCTACCTTTTGGAGGCCACCAGTGGTTACTTGGTGTTGGGTCCAGGACTGTGCCGCTGTCAGTTGAGACCTCACAGCTGCTGCCTGTTGTCATGACAATTATTTAGAGAAACTTTTTTTGATTGATATGATTCACATATTTTTCTTATTACTCCATCCAAAATCAAGTTTCAAGTCTTGTGATCTTTCTTTCCACATTGTGCCCTGCTTCCTAAGCCTGCTAAGAGCAGACAGGCACCAGGAAAGAATCTATCTAGCCAGATAGAAACCATTTCAGGCAAGGCTTGTCCTCTACCCTCATCACTTCTCAACCATTGGGGCTGAGGAGTGAAAGGAAAGAGTAGTGCTGATAACCATAAGCTCCCAACTCCCTAGAAGCTTGTGGGCTAGTGGTTACATTGGAGCAAGCTAGCTGGGATGCATATGCCCTGTTTTCTTCAAGATGGGGTACCATCAGAGGAGGCCGACTGCTGGTTCCTGCCGCAACCCACACGGTGCCAGGGAATTCTGTTTATGATGCCACGTGTCACTCCAACTGGTGGCCAGTCTAAAGAAAAGTACAGGGCAAGCCTGATAACAGGCGGAGGGCTCTCTGTCTTGACATAGCGAGAGCCATTGTGCAATCACATATCTTTATATTAAAGGGCTTGGAAATTGTCAGAGTACTTTTGTATTTGGCAATTCATTTCAGTCCTGAATAAAACCTCAGATATGACAAAGGAAACCTATCCCAGAACCTATCGGTTTTCTGTCTAAAGCCTGGAAGTTGAGCTGCAGCCCCCGTACTTATCTAGCAACTCACAACTGGGGCTGAAATCTTTCTGTATTGTGTGAATTCATTCCCGGGGTTTTGGAATGTGCAAAGCAGAGCACTGTCTACTTTTGACTCCAGGAAATCAGTGACAGACATATGCATATTTAACAAAATAAACTGTGATAAGGAGTGAAAAAACATGATTTGATTTCTGCCATGTACTTTTTTTTTGTTAAACATTTTACCTTTTATTTTTTCTTTCTATTTTAACTTTGATTTAAGTTCAGGGTTAATGTGCAGTTTTGTTACATAGGTAAACTCGTATCACAGGGGTTTGTTATACAGGTTATTTTGTGACCCAGCTGCTAAGCCTAGTACTCATTAGTTATTTTTCCTGATCTACTCCCTCCTCTCACTTTCTACCCTGAGGCAGGCTCCAGTGTCTGTTGTTTCCCTCTATGTGATCATGTGTTCTCACCTTTTGGCTCCCACTTACAGGTGAGAACATGCGGTATTTGGTTTTCTGTTCCTGTGTTAGTTTGCTAAGGGTAATGGCTTCCAGCTTCATCCATGTTCCTGAAAAGGACATACTCTCAGTTTTTATTATTATTATTATTATTATTGCCGCATAGTATTCCATGGTGTATGTGTACATTTCCTTTATCCACTCTACCATTGATGAGTATTTGGGTTGATTCCATGTCTTTGTGGTTGTGAATAGTGCTGCAATGAACATACACATGCATGTGTATTTATGATAGGATGACTTATATTGCTTTGGGTATATACCCAGAAATGGGATTTCTGGGATGAATCCCACACTGTGGATCACCACTCTGTTCTCTACAATAGTTGAACTAATTTACACTCCCTCCAACAGTGTTTAAGCATTCCTTTTTCTCTGCAATCTCACCAACATCTGTTATTTTTTGACGTTTTAATAATAGCTATTCTGACTGGTGTGAGATGGTATCTCATTGTGGTTTTGATTTGCATCCCTCTAATGATCAGTGATGTTGAGCTTTCTTTATATGCTTGTTTGCCGCATGTATGTCTTCTTTTGAAAAGTGTCTGTTCATGTCCTTTGTACACTTTTTAGTTTTTTTTGTAAATTTAAGTTCTTTATAGATAGCTGGTTATAGATGCATAGTTTGCAAAAATCTCCCATTCTGTGGGTTGTCTGTTTACTCTGTTGATAGTTTCTTTTGCTGTGCAGAAGCTCTTTAGTTTCATTAGATCCCATTTGTCAAATTTTGTTTCTATCGTGATTGCTTTGGCGTTTTCACTGTGAAATCTTTGCTCATTGCTACCTCCAGAATGGTATTGCCCAGGTTGTCCGAGCACTTTGGGGGGCTGAGGTCGGCAGATCGCTTGAGCCCAGCAGTTTGAGACCTGCTATGTAACTGATGGTGAATTCTGTACTTAAATATTGTTTTATTTTAGGTTTACAATAGCAGTTTTATCTTTTCATTAATGTGACAAAACTGACACACAGAGACAAGTAATTTATTAAGGCCACCAAGTTAGCAAATGATAATTCCAGAACTTAAGTATGGGTCTAACGGTCTACAAATTATATATTTTCTTTATATACGCAGTTTTCCCCAAATAATATCTAAGACTTACACAATGCTTTTTCCCTTATAAAACATGTTCATACCCTCAATAGCATTTGGCTCTTAGCACCTCTGTTTGACCTAGGCAACATTATAGATGAAAGACTTAATGGTCAAATCATTAACTGATTTTCCCAGATCACAGGGCCAGCAACTGGTAGAATTAGAACTCAACCCAGTTTTTCTTTTTCAAATTCCTTTTACTATGTTGCACTGCCTTCCTGGTAAATAATACCAACAACCATCCTTTCTGGAGCAATTAACCTGTCCTAGTCAGTATTTGAAGTCTTTTACTTGGCTTCTTCCACTTAACCTTCATCACAGAACTAAGTGAGGCAAACACCATTATTATTCTAATTTTGTAGACGAGAAATTTAGAGTCTTGTCCAAGGTTATACAGCTAGTAAGTGGTAAGACTGGGATTTCATCCCAGATACTCTTTGACTTCAGGATCCAAATCTTCAGCATAATACTACACTGTCTCTCAACTTGCCAACCCCTGCATGCCTCCTCCAATGTGCTATAAAATGTATTAGGGGTGCAGAGTTTTATGGGAGGATAGAAGAAGGAAATGTTGATTCCAGCTAAAGAGATCTCTAGAAGCTTTGTGAAAGAAGTGACATTTGAGCTAGGCCTTAACAGACTAAGTATCTAAGGAACGGATAGGCTTACTGGCTTGTTTAAAATTTCATAAGTTCTTTAAATACAGGTTTTCTTATGCTTAGATTCAGACACTTTTCAAGAATGTATAGCATAGACCCATCTAATTGTTCCTTTTCTTTCCATGCACCTTATTTCCCTTTCCCTGAACTACAAACAAATGCACAAAATTTGGGAGGGCAAGAACCTCAAATTCTCCAAAGATTATATAAAAAACAATATCAGTATCATTCCATGGAGTCAAATGGAAGTGGCACAAATTGAAAGTATATGCACATGCCCAAACTAACTCAAATCCTCTTGGTAATAAATATAGCTTACATTTGCTATATGGGTATGTGAAATATAAAATAAGCCAGTGTATGAAAGTGAATGTGAAACATGCCCTAGCAAGGGTTTCATTCATGAACTGATATAAAGCAGAAATAAATCTTGACTGGATAGTCAAACTTTTAAAAGCTGTATTTCCATACAGTTTTCAAACACATGTAAAACTTTTTCATGTAAAATAAATATAAGTCCTGAGTAGTTTTAATTAGCGATCTTGGAGACATGCTGCACCTGTTCCAATTCATCTGCAGAGATGAAAATCCTTCACCCTTTTCATTTGCTGACAAGTTAATAGACATTTCCAACTCATGCCAGCACATAGAGTTTTGCAGCTTTCTTGTGACAGGTGAATAATAAAGCTGCACAAGAATGTGGCAACTGTACATGGAAAACCCTCAGCGAGTGTAAATTCCTGACCAGTGAAGATATGTCCTCCCATCGTTCTGCAGGCCTGTGCATGCGTAGCGGATGCATCATGGTTTTTTTTTTATTAACACATTTATTGAGGTACAATTTACATAGCATAAAATCCACCCATTTAATGTGCACCATTCAATAATTTTTAGTACATTTACAGAGTGGTGCAACCATCATTACAATCTAACTCAGAACATTTTTGTCATCCCCCAAAATAACCTTGGCCAATTTACAGTGACTCCCTATTTGCAGAACCCCTCAGCTCTGGGCAAGCACCAGAAGGCTTCATTTTTACTACATTTGAGTAGAGATGATATTGACTCTTCCATACACTCACTCCTTTGTGTACTGAGTCAATGAGGAATTAAATGGCACAGTTATGCATTGGAGAACATAATATAGTATGGGTATTATATGGCTACATCTGTGTGTATGTGTATGAGCATTTGTGTGCATGCATCGAGGCACATAGGTTGAAAGAAAATGCAAGAAATCATCCATGCAGAGAAGCAGAGGTTGGAAGTCAGCTTACCCTTTGATAGCAAAGCTGTTAGCAGGGATATTCAAGACGGGTACCACCAGATGCATTTCACTGAGAAAAGAACAAAAATACAATTACAGTGGATTCTCATTATTTGGGAATTCTCTATTTGCAATTTGCCTACTCATTAACATTTATTTATAACTCCAGAATCAATACTTGCAGATTGCAGTCATTCACAGACATGCTCAAAGCAGTGAAAAATTTAATTTTCACTCACCCACTATGTTCCCAGCTGAGGTGAATCAAGACAACACTCTGCCTTCTTGTTTCAGCCTTGACAGAGAGATGACCTGGGGAGGGGGAAGGTTGGGGGCAGTGCAATGCAGTGCAAGAAGCTCCAGCTCAGAGCCAGTTAAAGGGGATTTGAATCCAATTCTGGCACCTGTTAGTGGTACAGCTTCAGGAAAGTCACTTCAACATCCTGAACTTTGTTTCTCTTTTGTAAGATACAGAAAATAGAATCTCCCAGGATGTATTATGTTTGGAGTTAAATCTGGGAGGATATTATATAAATATATAAAATATATAAAACTATAAATGTATAATATAAAAATATTTTAAAAACTCCCAGAAGCACTGTTTCAGTATTCACTGGTTCATTTTTTCATGGGGCACTGCATAGAAAATAGCTACCATGAATGATGAGAATTAAGTGTCTATTCTTGAGATCGTTGACTGTGAGAGGAGGGGAGGGGAAGCTTTCCTCATAGAACAGCTGAAGTTTCCATGGATATTTTATCCTACAAAATGGCTACAACTCTCTTCAAATTTCTTTCTTTATTAATAATCCATTATTGTATGTAGAAGTCATTTCTAAAGTTCAAAAGTAAGATAGAGATAGAGAAGAAATCTTTGGAACCATACCAATTAAGAACTTGTTTTGCTGCAAGTATTACAAATCTGAGTGATAGGGCTTGAACACAGGTATTTGTTATTCTCACATACTTAGAGGTTTGAGTTGTGAGGTTTTAGTATTTGCTTGGGTGCTGGGGGTAGAAACCAAGGCTCCTACTATTTTCTCCTCTGTCATCCTCAGTGGATGGTTTGCACCATCGTGTATTTGTCTCATATACAGGAGACAGCTGCACCAGTGCCTGACTGTGAGAAGGGAGGAGAGGGAGTAAGGGTAAGGCATTATATCTCTAAAGTCTATCCTGTCCTCTCAGAATCAAGGAAGAAACATTTTTCTCAGAAATGAGAAATTAGTCATTCCAGTGACTTCTCCATAGATCTCAGACAAAAATATATGATATGGCCATTGAAGACTGATTCAGATTAATTATAATCCATAGGCTGGGCTGGGCATGTTGCTATCCCAGAAAAAAAACAAGGTTTCATTAGCCATGAAGAAGAGGGAGTGGGCACTGGCTACTCAGGAGACTAAATGGGATTTAACACAATTTCTGGGCATAGACAGACTAGTACCCTATGGACTTTCTGATGTGGTTTCCTATTAGTAGCTCAGGTGCAGAGATATGCCCCAGCGTTAACCCCATACCAGAGAATAAAAAGCTAGTATTCCAGGATTGGGATCTTACTGATCCTTCATCCCACTAGAGCTCAGGGAGCTTTCTTTATGCAATTCTGTGAAAGATTTTGTTCTCTGGAAAAATGTAAGTCTATTGCATGGATACAAAGTTGAAGAATTATTTTTACAAGTTGAATATCTTGTTAAAAATAAGAAAAGAGACATTTTTAAATAAAAATGTCACTCAGTCAGAGGATGAGAAGTTGAAAATCTTTATTCAGTTTCCCATGTATATTTATAACTTTTGAGCCAAAGTAGGATATAAGGGCTGTCCTGTGACAATGTGTTAGCCTTAGACACCAGAATTCTTCAACTGGATTCACAAAAAGCACTTGTACATGGTTTTAGGTCCCTTTTAAAAACCATTCATTATTTTATTAAAATACGGCATGCTTAATTTAATAAAAATTTAATTTAATGCAATACATACATGAAAAACAGGTACTATTTTCATGGAGTAATAATATATTTATTAGTATTCAAGAAGATTGTCAAGAAATTTACAATATTTTTATTAAAATTTTAAATATATGTTATCAGTGACTGATAGAACCTCTTCCATGTTCCCATAAAAGTACCAACAAAATTACATAATTTATGAAAACCTTATAAACCCCTAGAATTTAGGAGCAAATGAGAACTCAGGTCAAAATATTAGAAGGATATTCACTAATAATAGGACTATGTTAGGCTTGAAAAAAAATCATGCTTTGTGTATGGGCTGCTGCCCGAACAAAAACATGCATTTATTGAGGAAAAAGTTAGTGAAAGCCTTTGATTCATTGCGTGGTTTAGCCCCTTGCTGGAGGACAGAGAAGGCCATTTAAGTAGAAAGCTAAGTAGCCACAACTCCTCATCCTTACCTGACTTGCATCTGATGGTGACTATTTCCTGGGCTAAGGAAATCATTGTGCGGAGTAATATGGTGGCCAGTGGCCTGGTATCTGGAGGTCAGAGGAACCTGAGTTAAATACTAGCTCCACCATTTATAATATCAGCTAAATCCCTTAACTTAATCTTTCTTAGTATACATCTTCTATCTGTAAAATGGACAAAATAACAGAGCTCATGTCAAAGAGTTGTGATGTTTAAATGAGGCAGTACATGTGGCAGAGTTAGCCGAAGCATTCCACAGCTCTGCTTACTTATCAGCTATCAAATATTACTATAAAGTTTTGTGCTACCATCTCACACATGCATAGGGAGAGAGGAAAGATGAAAGACAAGAAAAGAGACAGGGAAAGGCAGAAGGAGAGGAAGGGAGAGAAGAAAGGGAAAGAGAGGAGGTAGAGAGGATCTGCTCTGCCATTAAACCGAAGGGATGGGAAAGTAGCCTGTGATCTGAAAAGCGGGGCACTGTACTGCTGGGCATGTTCTTATCCTCTTCTCCTTAACAGCAATGCAAAGCGAGAGCTGTTCTTAGAAAAGCTGGAAGTATTGAATGCTGCGGTTGCTCTCTTTTGTATAGTATAAATGAATTACAGATTGAACGTGTCTCCTTACCCGTTTCCATGGAAAGAAATGGATATGAATGATGAGAAATCCTAAGAAAAGCCCACTATAGAAATATTGGTGGGCAACAGACAAACAAAATCAATATTTATTATGAATAACTCTCGGATAAATGACGGAGAAATTCTTCAGTTACTATGCAGCTACCATAAAAATTCTTTTTATCAAAATTTGTACAATATTTCCAAAGCTATGCTTAGAGGCAAATGTCCAAACAAGCATGTAATTAAAGCATCAATGAAACAAGAACAGGGAGTCAGAGAAAGCAAAGTCTCAGATGAAGATTCATATAAAGAGAAGGTAAGATATAAAAATACTGTCAAAGTCTTAATAAATGGTCCTCAACTGAGGATATTTTACAATTCCCTCTCCTTCCCCCCAAATGTTGGACAATGTCTGGGGATATTTTTGACAGTCACAACTGCAAGGATACTACTGGCCTCCAGGAGGTATAGGCTAGGGATGCGCCTAAATTTTACACAATGCACAGGATGGCCCTTCACAAAAATAATTATCTGGCCCCAATGTCAATAATGCTGGGGTTGAGAAACTCTGCTCTGAAGACAGGTTAATAGTAAAAATCAGAGGTATTAATCTTTAGAATTGACCCTTCAGGAAATTGAATCATGCAGAGGAGGAGGATAAAAGGCTCTCCGTTCATTCAAAGGAAAAACAAAAATATCAAAATGGCTAGAAAGCAGACATTACATATAAAATAGAAGAGATGAGATCCAACCTATGAAAAATAGGTATACACAGAGAAGAAAATAAAGAAAGAAATAATGAGGCATATAATGGATAAAAAATTACTTGAACAGAAAGACCAATGGGGTCTATGGGTGGAAAAAAAAAAGGATGTTCCTGTTTGCAACAAAAAGTGCTTAAAAATTCAGCTATAAAAAAAGGGATAGATTTTAAATGAACAAAAAGCAAGGTGGTTTCAGATTTCTCCTGCCCAAGGTAAAATGTCAAAACATACCACACAGACAAACAAACAAAGATTCCTAGGGCAATATGAATATAAATTTAAGGAGAAAGGCTTCAACAAAATAAATATGTACCCAATAAAATAGCTATTTCTAGAAGCCCAAAGAGAGGTAATATAATCCCATGGTTTCAACTAAAAAAATATTAATAATCTCAGCCAGCAAAGAAAAAAATTGAGAAATACTAACTTAATTTAGAAAGTCATGATATGAAAAGCCTAGTCTTGAGCACTAAAGAGAGATAAAGATACCTTTATAATTATTTAAATTTTGGTAACAAATTAAAATTTAAATATTAAACTTATTCTTGAAATTCAAATGATAACCACATCTCTTATGAATGGAGATCTACATCTAAAACTTCAAAATGAAATAGCAAAGAAAAAAGTGACTTACCTGAAATAATGAAGACAACAGATCAATATTTTATTCCTAACTTTTATAATCTTAGAAATATTGGGAATTAGTTTTTGGAAATCAAACTGTCATTATTAGTTTTACTTAAGACACTTTTTTCTTTCAAAATCATTAGTACGTTTTTATAAAATTAACAACTTAGTATATGTAGCAAGAGAAAAAAAGGAACAGAACAAATGCACAAATTTTTAAACAAAGAATCAAAAAACAATGTGACAGAAATAAGACCAAATTCATCAATATTTTTTAACCTTCAGACTACACTGGATAAATAAAGAAGTTTTTCACTGAAAAATTATAATAACCCCATAGTGAAAAATCATTATGCATGAAATATTTTTTCTCAAATAAATAAAACAAAGCCTATTATGAATACAAGGCTAAGTTGATACAAACACTCAGCTTTTGAATGAATAAGTAGTATTAAAAGAAATAAATTCATATACTAGAAAAGAATAAAATATTTAAAAATTGGAGTTTTATAAACAGAACACAATTGTTATTAAAGTGCAGTTAAAGTCTTTATACAGAAATATATGCCCTATAAACACAGAGTATATCTTTTTAAGGACTGATGAAATAGTCACTTTAACAATCACTTTTTAGACCAGGGATAAAACACTACAATGTTACAAAAATATGAAAATGAACATAAAAGTCTCTCTGGCCTCAATGCCACTGAGGCCTATTACTGGAAAGTATACATAAAAGTTTAAAGAACAAAACAAATGCAGAAAAAAATGCAATATTTATTATGAATAACTTGGATAAATGAGGGAGAAACTATTCAGTTACTATGCAGCTACCATAAAAATTCTTTTTATCAAAATTTGTACAATATTTCCAAAGCTATGCTCAGAGGCAAATGTACAGCCCTAAATGCTTTTATTATTCATTAACAAAAATAAATGTCACTAATCTAAGATTTTCACTTCTATGAAATAACACAAGCCTAAGAGCATCAGAGAAAGAAAAAATACCAAAATTAGTTGATTTGATATATGCGGAAAGGACATTTGAAAAATAAGTTGAAGAGATGATTCTGTGGAATAATAAAGAGTATAATGAATTAAATAGACACATAGCTTGCTGTTTTCATTAAGAACAATGTAGCAAACCCATGGATATATAGCATTAGAATGAAAAGCTATATTTCAACAGATACAGTGATCATTAAAAAGTAGTAAAAACTATTATGTAAAAATCTAGGCTAATGAATCCAAGAACCTTGAATGAAAATGTTACTTTTACAGGAATTTCTTAAATGATAAAAAAGTGATTCAGGAAATGTTAGAAAACAAAAATGTCTAATATCTATTAGAAAGAATGAAAAATAATTAAAGACTTATTAGGGTCAGACAGTTTTACTAAGGATTCCTTTTAGATTATTATTTTATAAAGTAACCCTAATATCATGTAAAATATTTGACTACTTGGCAAAATATAGAAAGATTAACAAATTAGGAAGCTAAAATCACTGAAAAAGCAAACTTTAATTAATATACCTTATAGACCAATAAAACTTATGAATGCAGTTGCAAAAATTCTAAATAAATTATTTATAAACAGTACGTTAGTAGAATAATTTATGACAGCCAAGTAGGATTATTTCATTATTGATATTAGGAAATAAATTATTTTTAAAAAGAGCATGGATAGATGTAATTTTCGACATGACATCTATTTTAAACTTACATGATGTTAATTCTCAGTTATTAAGGATAATATCATGGTTACTGGAAAATACTGAAGGCATTTTAACTTCAATGTTGCTTATGAGAAAATTGCCTAATATCCCTATTACTGTCTCATGTTGTTTTAAACACTGATCAAGATAAAGAGACTTAAACACAAATAAAATCTTCAGCTATTGGTAATGAGAAGACAAGTATCAATATATATGACTTGTTTCTGTGGAAACACAAGATAATTACCTGAAATGTGATTCAAATTATTATGAAGTTAATTGAAACCTTTCCAATATACCAGCAATAAAAAATTGGACACTGGAATGAAAAATATGCTATTCATAATGCAACCAGACATAGAATACATGAAACAACTTGATAAGAAATGTGGGTAACTTATGGAAATTAAACAAAGAAAAAATTACCAGACATATAAAACATGATGAGATATATACCATGTTTACAGATGGGAATATCAAATATTATAGAATGAATGTCTTCCTAAATCAATACAGAGATTTAAGGTAATCTCAATCAAGATTTAAATTAGATTGTTTCATTTGTTCTGACAGGGACAAGGGAGGCTTGAAAAAGTGGTTTGAAAGTGTAGTTGGAAGAAAACATGGATAATTTTAAAACAGAAAGCAACAATGAGTGATAAAAAAAATTACCGAAGTTTTTGTGGATATGTAATTACAAAACTACAACTAAAAGATAGTTGAATTGGTTCAACAATTAAAACACATGTTAACTGAATATGTTAGTTAGCCTTAAACTACAATACAGAGTTTATTCGAATCTAAGTATGAAAAGAAAGCAGCACACACCAGTGGGGAATCAGTTAATTATTCAGGATAAAATGTTGAAAAAAATTGTTATGTATATAAGCTAGTAATAACATTAGATTTTTTTCCCGTGCAATTAATTAAAGATAGCCTCCAAAAAATCTACCAAAAATACTCGTGTGTGTGTGTATGTGTATAGACCATAGGTTTTCAAAATATAAGTCAGCCAAAAGATATCCAAGACATGAGTGTGGTAAAATATAAGTTGCAAAGTAGATATATGATTAAAATTATTTTAAAATGTGAAAAAAGGAAATATGCATTGTATATATAAATTTTTATTTTTATTTATTTATTTATTTATTATTATACTTTAAGTTTTAGGGTACATGTGCACATTGTGCAGGTTAGTTACATATGTATACATGTGCCATGCTGGTGCGCTGCACCCAATAACTCGTCATCTAGCATTAGGTATATCTCCTAATGCTATCCCTCCCCACTACCCCCACCCCACAACAATCCCCAGAGTGTGATATTCCCCTTCCTGTGTCCATGTGTTCTCATTGTTCAATTCCCACCTATGAGTGAGAATATGCGGTGTTTGGTTTTTTCTTCTTGCGATAGTTTACTGAGAATGATGATTTCCAATTTCATCCATGTCCCTACAAAGGACATGAACTCATCATTTTTTATGGCTGCATAGTATTCCATGGTGTATATGTC